>NT_167245.2:1157905-1332276 GCF_000001405.40 Homo sapiens | reverse complement strand
GGCCAGAGGTAGAGCTGAAAGAGCTCTGCCCCGACTCCCTGAGGCCGAAGTGTGGGCGCCTGCTCCCCACCCCTTACCCCAGAGCTGCAGAATGCCCTTAAGCCCTTAATAGGTAAGGAAGGAAGATGGAAAGGCGAGAGGCACCAGGAATGAAAACCACACATCAACACTCAGAGGCTTGCCAAAGCCACACAAACCAGGATCTGTGCTTCCGGCCCCCAGCCCCCAGATGTAGGTGTGCCAGCCACCTGGAATGACTCGCACCTTGGCAATGTGGGCGCACATGCCAAGAGTGAGCCTGGGCACCCGGCCCATGCGCGTACCACAGGCGGAGGGGAAGGTAAAATTGGGGCTCTTCGGGGGGTCACAGGGGGCTACCCTCCCCACACAGGGCTACCCCGCCCCAGAGCGCCCTCTAGTGACCGCCT
The DNA here is from genome assembly GCF_000001405.40 of Homo sapiens. Classification (NCBI taxonomy): domain Eukaryota; kingdom Metazoa; phylum Chordata; class Mammalia; order Primates; family Hominidae; genus Homo; species Homo sapiens. The sequence goes on along the minus strand of NT_167245.2, from coordinate 1,331,848 downwards.
CCTAGGCTCTGGGAACCAGGTGTGCTATTCTCCCCTCCCTGCTCCCCCAAACCTTACCCGGGAAGCAGGAGAACCAGATGAGGCGTTACGCAAGGCCTGGTGTTTACCTCCCGTGGGAGCCTCCTCCCTCCCTATAAAGCCTGATGTGGTGGAGAGATTTGACGAGACTGAGACTCTGGTTGAAGAGAGAGGCAATCCCAGGAGAGGGGCGGAAAGCGGCAAAAGTTAATGCGGGAGTCGGAGAGAAGGGCATCTACACAGCAAGCAGCAGGGGCGGCCCGCCATCTGCGCGCTCGAAGGCGGTCACGGTGGTCGCGGAAGGGGCGGCGTCCAGATCCTGGCTTTCCATGGATGCGCCCGAGCTGGGCCCGGGGCTGGTGGAGCGTCTGGAGCAGCTGGCGACGTGTCCTCTGTGCGGGGGCTCCTTCGAGGACCCGGTGCTTCTGGCGTGCGAGCACAGCTTCTGCCGCGCGTGTCTGGCCCGCCGCTGGGGGACTCCGCCGGCGACCGGCACCGAGGCTTCCCCCACCGCCTGTCCCTGCTGCGGCCTGCCGTGTCCCCGCCGCAGCCTGAGGTCTAATGTGCGGCTGGCGGTGGAGGTGCGAATCAGCCGCGAGCTGCGAGAGAAGCTGGCTGAGCCTGGGGCCCGTGCGGGGAGACGCCGAGGGGGGCGCATCCCCACCATGGGCTGCCTGGACCTGCCCGGAGAGGTGAGGCTGGGCGCGCGTCGCGGAGTTGTTGGTGGAAGCGGGAGATTCCCGGGGAAGCCGGGAATGGCACGTCTGGAGCCGGAGGCCCTGTGGAAGTTTAGGCAAAGGATGGGGTGGGGAGAGAAAAGCAAAGGATGAGGGGGCGAGGACCCTGGGTCCTCAAGGTGAGAGGCGCCCGGAAGGACGATGGATGGAGTTGACACTTGGTCCACAGGGGAGGAGGCTGGACCGATGCCTGAGCCTTGTGAGAGGGGCTGGAGAGAAGAGACTGGGGAGGCAGAGAAGGGGTACCGGATAGAACGCGGAGAGCCCTGGAGTCGCCGCGAAGGGCATGGGAACTGCAGAAGTTTTGGCAGGGCAGCCGCAGGCGCCCGGGAGGAGGAGAGCTGGCGGAGGGGAGGGAGCGGCGGGCGGAAGGGAGAGCCGACCCAGCTGAGGGTGAGGAGGGGTCCTGGGAGGATGGTGGGCGAGGGCAGAACCTGCTTAGAGGAGCGGGAGCAGGAGGCTGGGCTGGTGGGTTGGGGGCGGAGAAAAAGCTGGGGAGGAGGGGACTGACAAGAGGATGGAGGAAGGGAGCAAGGGGTTGGGGCATATCCAAACCTCCCCGTAGCGTCGTGGGGGTTGGTCTCGGACTCTGGCTCAAGCTAAGCCCTGTGTTGTTTGTTATTGTTATTTCGGCTCCTCCCAAGGCCCCAGGCAGGAGCGGCCAGGGGTGGAGGCGAGGTGCGGGAGAACAGCCGCTGGGGCCTCTGGCTCCTCTCCACATCCCAGTCTTACCACCCATCTACCCACCGCGCCTCTCCTGGGCCCCGGCTCCTTGGCCACTAACCAGCCCATTCCCTTGCCCGACCGACCCCTGGGCGTCTGGGACTCCTGACTGGCTTCTTCCCAGCAGCCAAGCTGGTCTTGGGTCTTGCTTCTGCCCTTTGAAGTCTTCATAGACCTAATTAGTCTGAAAGTAATTGGCACAATTATGCAAATTGTTTCTCTCTCCCCCGCTCCACCATATCGGCCTGCTCCAGCCATCAGCACTAGACAGTGAAGTGGAGGGGTCGGTATCCCAGTGTTTGGAGGGGAGCATCCAGTGCCCTCTCCTGGCTCCCATAGTACTCTGTGGATCTGCTGGGCCTTTTGGGACACATTCAAGTCTAGCTGCCTCCCTGGCCAGGGTCCAGAGACACAAAGCAAAGGGCCCAATAAATGCCACTGGGCTTTTATTGCAAGAGGGGAAGCAGCTTTATTGTAAGGCTTTTATATACCAACTCTTAGCCCGAGGGCTCTGGGTGTGTGTTTGGTCTGTGTGATGGAGGGAGGAAGGGACAGATGTTTTTCTGGGATGCACTGGGGAAGGTAGATAAGGATGGGGCCGCTGAAAGAGACAGAGAATGGGACTGAGGAGGCAGCAAGGAAGGCAAGGGCTCTGAGGACAAGAAACAGTCATGGACGAGCCTGGGAAAAGAGAATTGAGAACCCTTGGGGAGTGGAAAGGGGGAGGACAGTGGGGATGGAGTTAGGAGGATGAGGGAAAAGTGATGGGGTGAGAGGAAGGAGGGATCATGAAAGGTGAAGGAGGAGAATGAGAGGGAAAGGAGCACAGTGTGTAAAGAGGTGAGATCACTCTGAAAGGTGAGGAGGGACACTGCTAACTCAGACAGAACTCACCTGAGGAGGGGAGAGATAGGGAAGGATGCCCCAGGGAATGAAGCCCAGAGCTCACATCCATGTTTGTTTCTGCCCATCCTAGGATATGAGGAAGACATGGAGACGGTGAGTTCCACTTTTCTGTTCCCTCCTTTTCTCACCAGCTGCCATAGCCATCACGTTCTCACTGGGCCCACACCTTTGTTCCCATTAATAGGCAGGTTTTCTGGGGTATAGTCTCATCCCTTCTTCCTCCAGAGATGTGAGTGGGGTATGCGTGGGGGCATTAGGATCAGAGGGCTGATTTCCTGACCCTTCCCCTCATCTGTGTAGATTTGAAGTCCCAACATCCAAGTCATCTAATTCAGAGGATGATCTCCCTGAAGATTATCCAGTGGTCAAAAAAATGCTTCATAGACTGACAGGTAAGGAAAGAAGAAGGGAGGGAAGGGAATTGAATGAAAGTCTGTGTTAGATTTTCTTCCTTTTAGCCCTAAAAAGTGATCAGGTCCTTTTTGATGTCTGCATTAGTTTCCTAGTACTGCTCTAATGAAGCACCGCAAAGTAGGTGGCTGAAACAACAGACATTTATCTCAAAGTTCAGGAGGTAGAAGTCTGAAATCAAGGTGTCAGCAGTGTTGGTTCCTTCTGACGGCCATGAGACAGAATCTGTTCCATGCCTGTCTCCTAGCCTCTGGTAGCCTCACATGTTCTTTGGGTGATAGGTCTGCACATTTTCTTTTGTATGCATTTGTCTCTGTGTCCAAATTTCCTCTTTTTGTAAGTCAGCAATCTGGATTAGAGCCCACCCTAATGACCTTCATTTTAACTTGATTACCTATGTAAAGATCCTGTTTCAAAACAAGGTAACATTCTGAGGTTTGGAGGACTTCAACCTATCTTTGTGTGTGTGTGTGGAGTGGGGGAGGGCACAGTTCAGCCTATAACAATGTCTATCCTCGATTCCTCATATTCCAGCCATTTTCCCTCTTCCTTTTTCATACATTCAAACAACAGATCCCTGAAGGTTAGGTGCCTCTCAAAAATCTCTGCTTCCACCACCTCTCGTCACTCCTCCCTGGAAGGGGACCCCAGCATCTCCTTGACCCTTCTTTCCTCACTCACTCCCAAGAAGAAGGGTGCCTCTACCCTTCTTTAAACTGCCTAGAGAAGGTGGTCCACCATCTTGGTCATCCACCATCTTGCCCAGTCCAGATTGCTTCTGACACCCCTAATCCAGAAATTTTTCTTCAAAGCACCCCATACATATAAGGCCAATGGTTCTTTTTCTGGTCTCTGGCTATCACCACCTGCTCTCCTCCTCTGCCCCACAACCCCTACAGAAATAGGACTGTCCACCCCACCCCCCAATTCCTGTGGGTGGGTGGGCTGGTTTCTCAGGATACCTTGGATTCCTCCCTGTGCCCCTCCCATTACTTGAGGTTCCAGTATCAGTACGACTTTCTCTTTAGATGAACCTTCCCCATTTTGCTGACCCAGCTCCCATGCCCCACCCCAGATGATGCAGATTGAGGTATCAGTCCTTACTCCTCCCTCGAAGTCAGATCAGCCTCACTCTTCCTCCCCCAACCCCACAAACGAGACAACCTCTCATTTGATCTTCCTGCTGTGCTCCCTGCACTGGGCCAGTATGATCCTTCCCCAGGTCCAATTCTACAGAAGTGGTGCATCAGTACAAGGTCTGATATTGCCCAGGTCTGCTCTTCATATGCCTTCCTTCTTTTTGGTCCTGCAGTCGCCTTTTGAGCTGTTGTGTGGTCACTAGCTCTCAGTCTTTTACGTGATCTTCGTTGACTATTCTCCACCCTACCCCGCCTGTGATTTAGAAAACTCTCTCATGAGGTCCTCTCCCTGCCTCCCCGTCTCCAGCCGACCTGACCCTGGACCCTGGGACCGCACACCGCCGCCTGCTCATCTCCGCCGACCGCCGCAGCGTACAACTGGCCCCACCAGGGACGCCCGCGCCCCCTGACGGCCCCAAGCGCTTCGATCAGCTCCCAGCTGTGCTGGGTGCGCAGGGCTTCGGGGCCGGCCGCCACTGCTGGGAGGTGGAGACTGCGGACGCCGCCTCCTGCAGAGACTCTTCTGGGGAGGATGCGGACGACGAGGAGAGCCACTATGCAGTGGGCGCGGCCGGGGAATCAGTGCAACGCAAGGGCTGCGTAAGGCTGTGCCCTGCGGGGGCCGTGTGGGCCGTGGAGGGCCGCGGCGGCCGCCTGTGGGCCCTCACGGCACCCGAACCCACCCTGCTGGGCGGTGTTGAGCCCCCGCCGCGGCGCATTCGCGTGGACCTGGACTGGGAGCGGGGCCGCGTGGCCTTCTACGACGGCCGCTCACTCGACCTGCTTTACGCCTTCCAGGCGCCTGGCCCCCTGGGGGAGCGCATCTTCCCGCTGTTCTGCACCTGCGACCCTCGTGCTCCGCTCCGCATTGTACCAGCGGAAAGCTGAGTCTCGTCTCCAACTAGAAGTTTGGCCCGGCCACTGGCCCTGCAGCTGCTTTTTGGGGGTGGAATTCCCCACTCATTTCTGGGAACACATTCACACGCCCATTGCAGGAGTATTAATAGCAACCCACATTTTCGCCCCAAAATAATGAGACCTCACCTGGTCTCCACGTTTCCACGTCCCTGCTCAAAACCAAATCCATTCCTGCCTTCTGGCTCTCAGAATCTTCTCTCCCCTACAGCTACTACAGTACTTCCTGACTTCTCCCATTCAAACCATTCTAGGCCTGCAATGGGGAACAGGCCCTCCCCATCAGTATTGGTAAAGTGACCATGATTCCTACATAGAGGCTCTGCTGGTCAAATACTTGACTCCCACTCTTGCCACTCCTAGCTCCAGAAGGGCTCAGGGCCTTCCCCACAGATCTAAGGACTGGGCTACCCTGCCTGTCCACTGAGGTTTCTCCTAAAACAAGAGGCTTGACTCTGGTCTGGGCCCTGTGGCCCTCTGGGAAGCTTTGTACCTCTTTTGCAGGATCCGGGGGTGGGGAGGGACAAGCTAGTTCCCCAACCTCCTATGACTGCTTTCTATGCTCACAGCCTTTTTTCCATAAGAACCTTCTTGAAACTTCTCCCCGCACATACTCACGGAAAGGAACCAATGGTGCTATTTCCCCTCTCTCCTCCTCAACCTGGGAATACTTCAGACATCTCCAAACTCATCCTTGTGTATAGTCTCACACCCTTCCCCATAAGTATAAATGGGCCCATATTTAACACATTTTGTGATTTTGGGTTATTTATTTTGTGCATCTGTGGCAATAAATGAGATCTCAGTGGTGGTATGGATTTGACTGATCTCTGTAACTGTGTATGGCAAAAGGACCGGAAAATGAAAACCAGATCCCAGTAAGGGGTAGAGAGGGGCCAAGAGAACTGAACATCTGGGCTGCCGGAGAAATCAAAGTCTAGGAAGTAAGAGGTAAGAGTGTACTACAGGGGACATACCCCAATCTCTTTGCTCCCTCCCTCTTCCTTCCTCTCCCAGAGACCCAGGTCCCTGGGACTATATTGGATCTGTCTCTGAAGCTGAAAAACAAAAGGCAGAGGAGACAGTCGGCTCTAAGTGACCAATCTCAAGCCAGCTTTGTCAGAAATCCTAAATAACAGGAGAAGGGTGGGAAGAAAGGATATGATTATTTCTTATTCCATTTTCCATAAGAGGTGAGAATGACAAGGACCTCTTTTCTAACTCCTCTTGAGGGTGTGAGAAGGGTTAGCAGGAGGAGAAGGGCTGGGAGCTCTGAGGTCTCCTGTAAGACCTCATATCTCACAGGCAAGGACTAAGAATTAGGATTAAATATTTTAGTGGGATAGCTCTAAACCAGGATTAGCAAGCAAAGTTAGGGCGCAAATTCCTGGAATCTGACTGGGACCCTGGCAGTGAAAGCTGGGACTGTTGAAAACCCAATTTAAGTGTTCGCTACTCATGTTGAGAGTGCAGGGCCAAGATAACTAGATCCCAGGACAGGCAGTTTGGCAGTGAGAACAAAAGGAAGACACTGGGACCAAGGTGCCTAGATCCCTCGAGAGAGAAGGGTGGGTATTGGGAGGAAAAATGAGGACTGGGGAAACCCAGGAGGCTGGGTTCTGGAATAGCAGCAAGTCAGAATTTCAGGATCTCTGTTCGTCCTCCTCTTCCTCTTCCCTCTATCAGGCAGAAGAGAGGGAAGGAGGGGGCTGGAGAAGTAGCCACATGGATACATTTAGGGCCAGACAGACACAGGAATGCTGGAGGAGAGAGGGATTTAGTGCTGCATTGGCCCTGGAGGGGGCTGGGAAGGGTCAGGAGGCTGGGGAGGGGTGGTGGGGGTCGGTCCTAGGGTTGCACGACGCCGTCCTTTGCGGTGGCCACGTACACAGTGTGTATGACCACAGCCCTCTTCTTCCTCCTCATCACTTTCCGTGGAGCTCTCGCCAAAGGCCCGAGGTTTCTCATAAATACAGCAGCCTAGATTTAGAGGGAGGAGCCCAGTTAAAGAGGAGGAAGGGTAAGATATATAGTCAGTTCCATTCCCACTCAAACTCAGTGAAAATTCCTATTTTCTCCTACCTTCCAGGATCCAGCTTCCCCAGGCCCACCCTCTGGGACTCAGGCCCCACCCCTCTTGTCCTCTTAGAGAGCCACGAATTCAAAGCCCCACTTCTCCCACCTCTGACACTTCTTGCTGTCAGACCTAGGCAATTCCAGTTCTAGCCCTTCCCTACCTCTTTCCCTGATACCACAGCACCACCAAAAAAGTGACAGAACTATGAACATCTGGGGGCTTCTGGAAAGCCAGTGGATATGAGTAGATACAAGATATGCTGAAGGGAGCCAGAACTCCAGGGCTACTGCGGGCCAACAATTACTCACATTTGGATGAGCGGCGGCCCATGTGTTCATTGTCCACAGTGTCACTTGTCCATTCTACCTTTTTCTCTGGCTTCCGTTTCCGAAGTTTGATGGTAAGGCTCCGGTTCTCCTAGAAGGTTAAGGATGAGCATACCTATCTAGTCCCCTCTTACTAACCTTTCCCACTCCCTCCCAGGGAACCTCCTCTCTTTTCTTCTTTAGCTCAATCAGTACCATAGGCATAGCACCAGAGGAGCTGACAGAAGATAAAACAGAACAGGTCTTTTACCTCAGATAGTCCCTTGAGGAATAAGTATTATTTCCTGTTCTTATACCACCAGTATAAGAGAAGACACAATTCCTAACCTAGGAAAGGTCCCAGCAACTCTTCAAAGGAAAATATAATCCTTGCTGTTTCTCCGTCTTCCTCCCCAAATCATCCTTGGTAGTATTAATACATGAAAATTATTTTTCAGTCCCCAGCACCTAATCTTTGATCTCCCTTCCTTTTTCCAGATCCCCTATTCTTTTTCTCTTAAAAAAACAAACAAAACCTCTCTCATTCTCAAGCTCCAGCCCTCCCTACCTCTTATCCACCTATTCTCTGGCATCCTGGCATCTCTAGTAGCAAGTATTACTAATCTATTAATTACTAAACTTCCTTTAATCCAAGAGTATTAAGCCCAATGCAACCTTCTCCCTTTGAAGGCAACTTAACATGTTTTTGGATAAATACTTCTTGTTTCTCCATTTACATCTTTGCTCTCTGATTTCTCAAAATACCTCTTTTCATCTCCTTTTCTTGTTTCCTCATTCCTGCCACTTCCTTTTACATTCATCCATTCAATAAATATTTATTCGAATATCAATATTGATAATATTGATAAGTTGGCCTCCAACCATGCTTTCTTACACTACCTTTGATTTCCTCCCAACATCTTCCTGGCTCCTTAATCCTCAATTTCCCTTTCGTTTATTACTTACACACATAACCACCCCAAGCAGCAACACCTATATCCTAACTGTACCTCCCTATTACAAGTTCCTTGACCTGCCTCCTGCACCATCTCTGCCACTCCAAATAGCTCCAATACCTTCCGATTCTCCCAGCCCTAGATATTCAACCCCACACCTCCCATATCCCTAGGCCTAGCTCCTCCAACAACTCTTCTAATCCCTGTCCCCTCCCTCCCAGTATCTCCCAGACCCCTAAACAGCACCGCCCCCCCGCCTTTCTCACGGGCTCGGTTGTCACGGTAACCGTTGTCTCAGTGACGGTCTCGCTCAGCCCAGCCCCTGCCTCGGCCATGGCTAAGGCTCAGGACAGGGAGGAGAGGAGGAAGGGGGATGAGACACCCTTCCCTTTTTCTGTCGCTGAGGTCTAAGAGAAGCGGTATCGGATTCAGAGTGGTAGCCAGGATCCTCCACCTTCTTTATTCCCCCTCCTCCTGGGCCTCCGCTTCTCCACCCCTGGGGATAACCTGGCTAACCCCACTTCCGGCTCGCCGCTTCCGGGTGTGACGCATACTGCAGTCCCCCTTTTTCCCTTCCACGGCACCAAATGCGTCAAAGCGCAGGCGTCGCTGGATTAGTTCCGCCGTAACGTGACAGCGCGCAGGCGCTGAAAGAAAGAGAAACAAATTTGGCGGAAGGGGTGTCACTGCGGGTGTGGGTGGAGGAGGGAGAGTCTGGGGCAGCACGCGTACTCACAGCCTAGAGGAAGCAGGAGGGGCGCCCAGATGGGTATTGCCGGGCCAGACGCTGCAGAGTGGGTGTGGCGAGGGCGGAGTTGTGTGCACCAAGCTGAGTCCTGCTGCAGATTTCCGTTTGCCTTGTCTGGGTAGGTGGACCGGCGAGGAAGCTTAAGGAGCAATAGTAATGACCCTACCGTGGCCTATTTCCCTTTCCTTGTTTGGTCTGGGTTTCTCTAAAGAAAACGGGAAGTGGGAGCAGTTGGAAACACACTTAAGAGTCAAGCGATGTGGTTCTACCCCTCGCCCTGTGCCTGTAGGTGTTTGAGCAGTTCAGTTTAGTGCACGTTCAACGTCAGTTTTTTTCAGTCACTGTGCTACGCCTTGAAGATGGAGGCGCGTAAGACGCTCAGACCCTGCCTTTTAGCTCTAGTAGGAAAGACAGGCATGCTGAAAACTAACAAAAATATGAAACACTGGGGCATTAACAAATGCCATGTCTGATTTGTAAATCTGAATGTAGTTACATACTGCCAACATATTCGTTCTCTCTGGGGTGATGAGTAGGATGAAGCAGAGAAATGGTCGTAAATTACAGTATAGGCTATTTTATAAAAATATATGCACGTTTCTTAGAGAGCAAAAGAAAGTGGTAAAACAAGAACCAGGAAGGCCGACAAGTAGGTTTTTTTAGAAGAGCAGCTTAAAAAGTTGTAGATGTGTGCACTACAGGAAATGGAGTTTTGTACCGCTTGGATCTGAGGGAGTGCCAGATGAAGCTTGACAGGTAGGCAGTGGTTATATGGAAGAACCTGTATGCTTTGCTAAGAAATTAAGCTTAATCCAATCACTGTTATGGGCCAGAGAAAGGCTTAAAGTAGGGTAGAAACATGAACAGGTTTGTTTCAGATTTCAGGAGTGGGTCAGGAAAGTCAACTGCCAGAACAGTTCAAACGTACAGTGGGGAAGACTGCCCTGCCCATTCTCCAGGTTGCTGTGGGGGTCAAACAAGATAGCTATGTTTGAGAGCTCTGAATATATATAAAGGGCCACACAATTATATGATAATTATTACAGTAACCCCTTGATCACTATTTGAGCCAAGGAATGCGGGACCTGAGTATGCATTTGTTCCCCTTGAAAGTTTTTAGTTCAAACAGAAAAAAGCAAGATATAGTTCAGCATGTCTAGTCCATTAAAAAAACCAAACACATATATAGCAACACACATATACAGAGCCACATACATATACACAAGCACAGATATACAGTATAATTTGGTTATCTCTGTGGAGTAGGATTCCTTGTGACTTTACTTTTTTCTTTCTTTCTATATAAGAATCTATTATAATAGATATACAATTCATCCTTGAACAACATGGGGGTAAGGGGTGCTGACCCTCTGAACAGCCAAAAATCCATATATAACTTTTGACTCCCCCAAAACTTTACTGTTGACCAGATGCCTTACCAATAACATAAACCGTTGATTAACACATATTTTGTATATGTATTATATACTTATAATACATATAATCTTACAATCAAGTAAGCTAGAGAAAACATTATTAAGAAAATCATAAGGAAAAGAAAATATATTTACTATTCATTAAGTAGAAGTGGATCACATTTTCATGTTGAGTAGGCTCAGGAGGAGGAAAAGGAGGGCTTAAATGTGCTGCTATCTTATGGGTCTCAGAAGTAGAAGAAAATCCACATATATGTAGACTCAAGCAGTTCAAACCTGTGTTGTTCAAGGGTCAACTGTGTATTGTATTTATCTCAATACTAATAAAATACTCACCTATAGTGATCACTTAGTGGCATTACTTAGTATCAGATTTTTTGTTGTCCAAATTTATATGCTAAAGAGATCTGGTTAAAATTTCTGTTAAATGTCTCACTATCCAAATTCCTAGTTTTTCTTAACCTAAACTCAGGAACCAAATAGATTTAAATAGTATGGCAATACTTACAATTGCTTTTTGTTTATATTAGCCTCATTCCTGACTCTACTTTTTTGTCCTAATTTTTCCCCCTTTTCTTTTTCATATAAATATATCTCTGGAAACTCATTTAAATTCCTTTTGGAATAAGACAGATTATAAGTAACATACATATGTCAGGGTCTTATAGAAAAATATAACTTTAATAAGGAAATTCAACTAAGGGTAGGAGTACTCCAGGAACAATGGTAATCCCCACATGATGATCTGATTCTCTTCTGGGAGCAAAACATTGCAACCAGACAGGATGGACAAGGCATCTAAAAACCCAGTATCCTTCACCTTCCGAAAGGAGGGAGGGACTGTAGAGTTGCCCAGGAAAAAGGTCAAGAGTCTTCCTTCTCCTGGAACCTATGAGGAAAGAAAGGACTTGTTATATTCACCAAAAGATGAGTTTCTAGTAGTATAAGATAAGATATGCAATCAAATAATCAAGGAAGGACTTTTATTTATGACATCATTGAGGACTGGCTCCCCTAAACAAACTTCCAATTCTAATTCCAAGACAACTAAAAATTCTGGGATTAAAAATATATCCAATGAGTTATAACCTCAAAGCAAAGATTTCTTAGGACACAGAAAGCACTAGCTGTAAAAGAAAAAAAAAAGGATAAGCTGAACCTTATAAAAACTTAAAACTTCTGCTCATTTAAAGAGGGTTAAGAAAATAGGCAAGCCACACGCTGGGAAAAAAAATCTTCTTTTTATTTAAAAAAAATTTTTTTTTTTTTGGTAAAATGACAACCAGTGATAGGAAAAAAATACTTTTAAAAGATATATCTGACTATGAATATTTTTAATCCTTTGATGAGATGGCAAGAAAGTAAAGGCAATCTGCACACTGGTTAAAAGTTCTGTAAAACCAGAAATCCAGACAGGGAAGTTAAAACTAATGTCCCTATGAAACGTGACAGTGACACTATGGTGCCCTTTATACTGTTTTGACAGTCACTGGAAGCATAGGAAATGAGGGACAAAATGTATAAGGTCTGATAGGAGATCCCGTGCATAAATTTGGGAACTGCAAAAGGCTGCCCTTTCTTGTAAAAGTGAACAAGAAAAGAAAAAATTCAACTCTATAGAAGGGGAATTTGACTGTCTCAGTAGGTAGAAAGAGAGAAAACTCTCTCCTGAGAATTTCTAACTGTAAGCTAGCCCTTACATGGATTTGCAGCTCAAATTCATACTATCTGTCTGCTCCAAAAAACATGAAGCCAAGAATTTATTTAAAGTAATTCCAGCTTGATAGTGCTTCAAGGCACCTAGAAAAGAAACACAAATGCTGAGAATACAGCACTCGCCCAAGGCCTCAAAGAATTCCTACAGTTCAAGTTCTAAAAAACTCGAATTTATAGTCAAAAATCACAAAACAAAGAAAAAAAGCACTATGAGAGAGACAGCAGAAACAAAAGACAGCAGCATCAGACACACAAAATCCGCAGATATCAGAATTATGAGACATAGAATATAATAACCATATTTAATATTTTAAATATATATTTAAAGAATAATAAAAGGAACAATTTAAAATATGATTAAAGAACTGATAATTATTTAAAAATTAAGGAGATTTGAAAAGTAATTAAATAGAACTCAAAATAATAACAATAGTAAAAAATAATAATACTTGAAATAAACTGAAGACAGAATTAGTGACATGGAAGAGGGACCTGAAGAAATTACTCAGAAGGTGGCATAAAGAGAACAGCAATTGAAAATATGAAAAGAAGGTGAGAGAAATGGAGGACAGAAGAGAGAAACCTCTTTCTAGTAACTAATTCGAGGTCCAGAATGTGAGGACTGAGAACATGGGGGAAAGAGAATATTAAAAGAGATGATGGCTGATAATTTTCCAAGGTTGATGAAAAAAAAGTCCACTCTCAGTTTCAGAAAGTCCAACAAATCCCAAACAGAATAAAAGAAAATCGTATTTTGATATACTATAGTGACTGCAGAACACCAAAGACAAAAATGAGGTCTTAAAAGCATTCAGAAAGCCCATGTTCTCTAAGTCATGTGTGACTAATTCTCTCCAAAGAAAGCTACCTTGACTGCGGTTGAAGACTGCAGTATAAGATGCTGACCACTAAACAATACCTGCTTCTTATGTTGTTTTTTTTTTCTTCATTTCCTTTTAAATATCCTAAAAGTAGGTCAGGCGGGGTGGCTCATGCCTGTAATCCCAGCACTTTGGGATGCTGAGGTGGGTGGATCACTTGAGCTCAGAAGTTCAAGACCAGCCTGGGAAACATAGAGAAACCCCATCTCTACTAAAAATACAAAAAAAAAAAAAAAAAAAAAAAAAAAGCCAGGCGTGGTGGCATGTGTCTGTGGTCCCAGCTACTTTGGAGGCTGAGGTGGGAGGATTACCTGAGCCCAGGAGGCGGAGGTTGCAGTGAGCCAAGATTGCCTCGCTGCACTCCAGGCTAGGTGACAGAGCGACACCCTGTCAAAAAAAAAAAAAAAAAAAAAAATCCTAAAAGGTTTATTTCACTGGTTATAAAAAGGTTTAAAAAAGTGTAACTTAAAAAAATAAAAAACAACTACAAATCTCCCTATTACCAGAACTGCACAGAAATAAGGGATGGGACCAAGGGAAACGGCCATTTCGTACAAAAAAATAAATCACTGGATTTGTTTAGTTAGCAAACAGACTGAGCAGAGGGAGGGGAAAGAATACCCACTTGCAGTTGGTACAGGTGTAGAAGACAGTTTGCCCTTCATCGGCTGAACGCATCTGTCTGGTGTGGTATGCCATTCCTTCATGACCACATCGAGGGCAGCGCCTGTCAACCTGGGAAGAAACTGGTGGGTTAGGGAGGCCTGGTCATATCCCCTTACTTCCCACAGGAATCAGGCGATCACGCCTCTCAAACGTCGATGGTTTACATCTCTTTTCCCTCTTGGAATTGGGCACAAAACTCTCCAGAGCTTTGCAATCACTCCTCCATTTCTTTCCTACCCACCTTATGGAGCCAGTTCTTGATCTCATTAGCTTACCACAGGTCCCTGGCACTCAGGCCCTTCCTCCACCGACATAGGCATGGCTGTCCCCAGTTGGTGGAACACAACCGAAGTCTTCACAACCTTCCCCTCAAAGTCTGCACAGGCAAGTAAGAACTGGTTATGGAGACAACCAGAGACAGCTGACACCGGAAACCTCCCCTTTCCCCTGGCTGGTTAGGCCAGGAGGCCCTACATCCTTTCCCTCAGTTTTCATCGCTAGACCAAATGTACAACCGCCTGATGTCCTGCTCTAGGATCCCCTCCTCAACCCAACCGATCTTGAGTTCCCCAAGCTTCCGACCCTGCGCCCTCCGCCAGGACCCCTGCGTACAAGCCTCTCACCCCGAACGTTGATGTTGAAGCCACAGCGAATACAGGTGACCGTATCCTGAGCCCCGGGCAGAGGCAGGACCGAGCCGCAATCTGAACAGAAATCCAGGTCCGACTGAAAGCTGGAGCAAGTATTGGCGAGGTCCATGACAGACATGCGGTCGGGTCTGAGGAGGGAGTTGGAAGTTTATTAACAAAAGAGAGAAGAGTTCCTGTCCCAGAGGTCGTAACTATTCTGTCCCAGGACCTAGGAGTATATAACCCGAACCCTCCTGCCACGCACGCCTCCTGCCTCTGCGACCAAGGAGCCGAAACGCCCGGAATTCCCAGACAGCGTCGGGTACTAAAGGACTTGGAACCCTTTCCAGGGGCCGGTGAGAGGAGTTAACCAACTCCGTGGGCTAGAGCGCCAGCTCTGCGCCCGCGGCGGGGCAGCGAGATAGAGCCGGCTAGAGCGTCAGGCTTTCGCGTTGACGATTGGCTGTGACGTCATAATTAATTGCGAACCGTGTCTCGGGAGCGTTAGAGATGGAGACTAACGTCTTCCAAGGGAGATTGCGTCTCCACTTTCACCCTGGTACTGAGAGGTTGAGCACAAAATTGGTAACCAATGCTGCGCTTCCAGCAGATTTTCCCACCAGCACCCAATCCTGGGATATTTATTCTCTTTGTCTCACATCCTACAGGAACGCAGTCGCGGGGTATATCCCCCTGAAAACCGTACGTTGCCAAATAATGATTTCTTTGGATTAGAGAACTACAACTCCCCTGGGTCCTGAGCCGGTATTTCCCTTTTGCGGCTGCACCGTAGTTAAAAACAAAGCTAAGTGTTCTGGGACGTATAGTTCTAGCGTTCCTTGGGTCCCGCTGGCGAGCGTGGGCTTTCTGCAGCTCGCAACCGGCCTCGTGCTTTGCGGACGGTTCACTGCGCTTGGAAAGGGGTGAGTCGGCTTTTTGAGGGACAGCAAGTGGTGAGAGTGAAGGCCCGAGGAATGCTTAGTCCCACGGGACGAAAGGAAGCAGGGATGAAGTGGTACACTTGAGAAGGGGTTCAGGACTTTGGAGGTGGTGGAACAGAGGAGCTTGGGGCTTCCTCTCCTTCGACTCCTGCCAGATAAGTGAGGCTAGCAGTAGTCAAGAAAGCTCATTAAGTAGGATTTCATAAGACTTAGGTCGAGTTTGGCTTTTAGTTGTGCCTGCCGCCTATCGAACTCTTAATTCATTATGTCATCCGTTAAGTGGACAGCTGACATTTCCCTGATCTTTTATAAAACATGAGAATAAGTATCTTTGGGAAATCTTTCTATTTTCATTAATCTGTAACTTATATTCCAAGTAGAAACTTTCCCTGAAGGGGCAGCTTGTAGTTGTTTACTAGTTTCCTGCTAGCCCTCCCACCACCATCCACTCTGATAGCTGTGCTAAGTTCATTCATATAAAAGTTCTGGAGCCATCACTGTTTTCTCCTATGAAGGACACAAGCTGTAGTCTTTTCGCTGGGAGAGGCTCCCATCTGCCTTTCTCTGTAATAATGGAGAGAACGCCATAGTGAAAGGGTTAAAACTCAGCAAACTGCTGAAGAGTGACAAGCCCTATCACTTAACTGTGAAATTGCTTGTTATTCTGTCTTACAAAGGGAGACGTGTTGTTGAGCTGATTGTCGTAGACAGTTTTTATTCTCACTTATCTGTGTGTCTCCTTTGAAAATGGAACTTGAAATTCTACCCTCCTCAGTTTTCTGTTTTTAATTTGAAAAACAGCCAACATCCCCTGTGAATTGCAGTAAAGGAACAAAGCATTAAAAGGCATATCCTTTTCCCAACAAAAGCTCACAGTCTAATCAGTAAAGATTTATTGAGCAACTATGCCAGGTTTTGAGCTGAGGCTGAGCCTGCAAAGTTGAAATCTGTGTTCTCTGACCTCAAGGAACATGAATGAATAATTAGAATATAATAAAACTGTGCTAGTAGGTACAAAATGTGAGAGCCCAGAACATGCATATAAAGCAAACATATCTGTAAACTTCAAGGAAGACTGGGAAATGGCTTAATAAAAATAGATACAATGTTATGGCAGATATTTAAAAAAGATGCTCAGATATTATGTGTCAAGGATCATCAGCAATCAGCAAATCATTAATTTTGAGAACTTGGGATCACAGACTCTAATGTTAAGTATTGTGCTAGAAGCCATGTACAGAGAAGTAAAAGTAAGATGATCATACGTTTACAATCTCAAAATAAGCTTACGTAGACAAATAAGAATGTTCCTAAGAGGTCAGTGAGACCAAATATTTGATATCAGATCCTTTCCAACAATATAGAGGCATCATATTTGTAGATATAAATTACAGTTTTCATTCCTTATGAGCCTAAATTTCAGCATCAAAATGTTAAAAGTGATATGTGAATACAGATATCACAGTGTAAACCACGATTAATTTTCAAATGAGTTGTAGAATTAAAATATGTCAAGTATTTAGAGGAAGGGAAGATCACTGACAGAGTAGACTGGAAAGACTTTATAATCAGGAGCTTGACCTGTGAAGGACAGATAGATAGAATTTATTGAGAACTTACCAAGCTCTTTACATCTAATTCATATTTGTTCTTTATAACCCTGAGAGGCAGATTTTTGTCTTACATCTCCATTTTATAGATGAGAAAGCTGACAGAAGTTACTTGCCCTGAGTCACACACCTAGGAAGTGGTAGAATTAGATTTCAGATCTAGCTCTGTCAGACTGTAAAGACCATCCTTTGAACTCTAAATGGTATAAAAGACATACAGAGGAAATGCCAGGCATCCTCAGTGGCTTAAATACGACATCACAGTAAACTCAGGCTAGACCAGGGATGACACATAAAAGATGATAGTTTTCATTTGTGTTGCCATCAGCCTCCTCTATAAATAAACCCAGAGTAACCACAAATTGCCATCCTGAGGGGTTCAACAGGGAATAGTCTCATAATGGATTTAGAGTGAAGGATGATTGGCATTGTTAGTCAGGCAAGCAGAGGGCTGAGCAGTCAAATAACAGAATTTCAGAACAAAAGATTAGAGGGCAGAAATGCTGTATGTGCTGATAGAGTCAGAGAGGGCCCGGATCAAGAAACTGCAGGAAGAGAAAACTAGAAACCTAGAATCGTCTAGAAAACTAGAACCTACAATCGTCTCAGAACACAAAGGAGGCTTGAGGACTGAGCAGACTGACATAGATGTACTTGGACAACACCTCACCAAGGAGCATGTCTCTTCCCACTCACAATCCCCAATACGAGATTCACAGTGGTTCACGCTGAGTCCACAGGAAAAGTATGCTTGTTCATATGAAAGGAAAGATCCTCTTATTAAAAGAGCATTCATTATTTTCTACCATAGGAATGCAGTGGTTTCCCATGGGGGAAATGGCCCTGCTGTAGTCCTCCCTATTAGCAGATTTGTTCTGACACCTCCTACATTTGAATCTACCTTGCCTTTTTTATCTTCCAGATTGGCCTGGGGTACATCATCTAAAGATCCTAGGATTGCTGCAGGTCAGCAGTCTCCACTGGAAAAAAAGATCTTGGTAAGTAAATTATCTTCACATCATACAGTTTGGAACTACACAGAGAAGGAATCTTAGGTTTAAAATCCTTCTGCCCAAGTGACACATTCAGGTAGTATGTCTACACTGGCAAATGTTACCCAGCTATATCCACAGTTGCAAAACAAAGTATCATTTTTGGAAACTTCCAACACCATACATTTTTAAACCTAGTTACTGATTTGTGGTGGTGAGTACTTAATACTTTCAGAGCTCCCAGGCTCACCTGGGAGTGATGGGAATAAAATAACAACTAAGCTAAAGTAAAGAGCATGTAGCTTTTCCTGGTGTCATTAGGGAGGGTGGGCTTGGCTCCTGTTTAAATGTGTTCAAAGGAAAAAGATGATCACATTATAAATTTCTGACTTCATTTTGACAGAATCTAGGTGGTGTGCATACAACAGCAGCAAGACAGTTGATAATGCAGAAATATCAGGAGGAGTGTGAAATACTCTGTAGGGAGCAAGCTGTTTCTCTTGACTACTGGCTTGCCAAAGCAGAGTCTTATTATAATAAAATAATAGTGGAAATGATGAAAGAAGAGACAGGCAATGAAATCTAGAAAAAAATGGAGGAGAAAACAACCCAGAGCGTAGAAGGACTAAAACAGTACTGTTTGGTACCTGAGAGAGAGATGAAACACATAGAAAGGCACATACATCAAACAGGAAAGGCTGGAGAATTTAAGAACAAACCATTTAGACAAGTACTACAACCCCCCAATGAAACAAAATTACCAAAAATTATGCCAGAAGGGCATGGCATCCAGAACGCACAGAGAAGAAAGCAGGTAAATGAGAGGGAACAGATGCAGACTAAGGATCACCAGGAACGCATGATTCGAGGGAGAGAACTTGCAGAACAAAGACTCAAGGAGAGAATCTTGAGAAGAAGCCAGAGCCAGCTACTTACATATGAGAAGCATGAGAGAGTAAAAGAGATAAAGGAGTTTGAAAGAGTTATTGCGTATCTTCTTTTCCAACCATGCAGTAGAAGTCGGATTAAAGTGAGTATTCTTATGGATAAGTCTCAGAATGGAGAGAAGGTGAATACAATTGTGAAACCATATCAAAGAAAATTCTTGGCAATGCCACCCTTTTTAAGAAGTCAAATAGGAAAAATAAGAGATTAAAGTTTCAATGCTGTTATGATAAAATCATATCTCTTAAGTGAACCCTTTTTTTTTTCAAATGCTCGTTCTCTCCAGGGTTCAGTGAATATTCCCATTTGTATCAGATACAGATAGATAGTTCTGCACTTGAAAATTAGCTTAACTTTTTTAGTTGACTTGCATTTGTTCAAGTTGCATATCCTTTCTAGTGTTCAGTGTCCTCATCTTTAAAATGGCAATAATATTTGATGGCATTTATGGAAGGACTGTTTTTTTTGTGAAGTGTAGGTATGTATTAGTTGTTTCATAAATGTTAGTTTCCCCACTTGGAAAGACCGGGGTTGGGCAATGGTGGTGAATAAAGAATTGTTCTAATCTACTTCTCTTATTCTCCCTGTTCCCAGCCCTCCAAGGTTATTTTGATGAGATTGCTATAGTTTAGTATATGGTCTTTAATATCATACCTTCATCAGATAACTACTAGCCAGCCCCTAAAAGTGTAACTTGCTCTGTACAATTTATTTGAATGAGAAACTTAATTTTGAGAGCCTCCTACATGCTAGGCATTATGTTAGTTACTGAAGGTGAATAAAGAGAAGTCTCTGCCCTTGAATAATTTTCAACTAATGGCATAGATCACTCTATAAACAGATAATGTAGTAAATAAAGGTTACAATAGAAAGGTACAGGGTGCTTTACAAAGGACGGATTCTAACCTGGCCCAGGTGAGCAGGGTGAAAAGGAGGAAGGTTAGGGAAGGGAGTATTATAGTCTGTCATGTTTCTTCCAGCTTTTTTTGTCACTTCCTATCACCCACTTAAGCAAGACCTTCCTAATGCTTGGATCCACTCAGGGATAATCAAACTCAGCCTTTCTCAAACTCATGTTTTTGGCACTCATTGATAAATCAGAAAGCAAATTTATAAATTTAGTGAGAATTACAGTTGTCAAGCAGAATGAAATTTGTGTTTTCTAGTCAGTTTATTTTCTTCCCAGATACCAGAAAGTTGGGAAAGCAGGGGTTCAGAGTTGGTAAGCAGAGAAGCAAATAAATGGAAATAGATGCCCTCAGGAATATTATGCTTAAGTTGTGATAATTCTGATGCCCACCTTGCTTTACTAGCAGAACACCCTTTACCCTGGATACTGCTAGGTCAGCCACTGATACAAATGTTCTGTGTCTGTGCTCCTCAGTACAGTAGCCCTTGCTACACGTGGCTGTTGAGGCATTTAAAATGTGGCTGGTGCAGCTGTGGAATGGAATGTTTAATTGAATTTCATTTAAATTTAAATTGCCACATGTGGCAAGTGACTACCCTGTTGCACAGTGTAGCACTGGATAAACATAACTTCTGTGTTCTAGATTCCAGTCCCACCATTAGCTTTCTGTTTTTGACAGTGTTTGCTGGTATGATAGGTCACTGTTCATTTTACATTACTATCAGTTTAGTTTCCTTTGCATTTCAGAGGCTCCCTAATCCCTTAAAGAGATTTAAAAATCAATGTAGACCACTTCTGTGTGAAAATAAGATGACTGAATTTGCTTTGATTGGAATTAGGAACTGACCTCTCTTTGCTAGTTCTGGAATTTGGCCAGGATGCACATCAAAATCTCATTCCTACCCTCCTGATTTGCCTCATGGAAACTTCGTTGCTGTGTCTGTTCTCTGGTCCTCTATTGCTGTGTCTCAGCTTTAGATTCTATGTTTTGCATAGAAATGGATCATCAGAATGCAACAGGCAGAAGACTTAGAAGTGCAAATCAGTAGGGTAATGACAAGCCCTTTGAGCTGAGTGGGACTGAAAAGTAACCTAACATATAACCTATTAGTAATTGTTTACCATGAAGGTTTTCAGTGCTGGACACATAAATTGCTGAGTTCAACTGCCCTCTTTCCCCTCCAAATCTAGCATAAAAGCAACTGGTGCTCTCAGGGCAATTTCACACCTAATACGGCTAAGAATAAAAGTCTATGTTTCAGGAACTCAGTTTGTCCAAACCTGCATCCATCATCTACCTCAAATTATATCCACCTTTTCATTTCTTTGCACTGTGTCTGCTTAAATCTTGAGTCACACTTAATGTTTTTTTTTTGGTCTTTTTTCTTTTTAATGTGAAATAGAATATACAATACACAAATGAAAATGTATATTTAGAAGAACAATAATAAATGTCCAGGTGCCCGTTGCTCAGACTGAGAAATGGAACATTACTACATCCCAGGAGCCTCGTATGCTCTCATTCATATCTCTCTCCCCTGCAGCCAGAGGCAACCACTATCCTGAATTTTGTATAACTGTCACCTAGCTTTTATAGATTTTACTGTCTGTGTATCCCTAACAGTTGCTTATTTATAGCCTTTATATAAATAGAATTATACTGTATATGACTGACTACTTTTGCTCATTATTATTTTTGGATTCATCCATGTTGATGTGTGACACTGTAGTTCATTTCCATGACATGAATATGCCACAACTTAATTATATATTCTGTTGATGTCATTTAGTTGTTTCCAGTTTTTGTTTTATTTTTCTTTTAAAAATGATACTTAGATAAACATTAACATGTTTAATCTTATGTTCTGGTGACTGTGTACTAGATATATGTATGATATATAAATTGTGGTACATTTATTTGACAGGCCTGATCTTGAAGCCTGTTAGATTTCTGTTCCTTTGTGGCATTATGCCTGTAAGCCTGTTCTGTAGAGTCTGGCACATGTTAGCCTCTTAATAGATATTTGTTGAAAGAAAGGACATTTGTTAACTGCTGGAGACAGGCCCAAAATACATAAATAGCTGATAACAGACCACTTTAGCTTTTTACTCATCTTGTCCAGGTACAATCATAGTCAACCTCTGTTTATGCTTATATTTCAGTTGAGGTACTAAAATATTTGTTTACTTAGTTGGTTTTCAGTGAGCTTCCAGTACAGGATTTGTTTCTCTTTCTGTCACTTTTCCCAAAACTTTCACTCCACTGCCTTCTAGAAAAGATCACCCACATGTCGTCTCCTCAAGGCACCTGCAGCACGAAAGTTTTATTTCTGAACAAAAGGGTCCCCAGAGAAGGAGACAAGGAGTCTCCTTTCAGTACGAGGTTGCTGGAGTCCCTAGAGGGTCAAAGGCTGTGTAATAACAGTTCCTTCTTGTCTGCTGGACAAAAGCTTCTGAGCCCTCAAGCACCCTGTGACTTAGTTCTGATAGAGTACTGAGTTTGGAAATGGCAGAGTGGGGACCCAAAACAAATCTTCCAATTCCAAATTCAGTTTTATCCACCTTTTCAAATAAGATTAAAAAATGTTAATGTCTGTTGATTTGTGTGTGTTGAACCACTCTTGTATCCCTGGGATGAATCCCAATTAATTGTGGTATATTTTTGATATGTTGTTGGATTCAGTTTGCTAAAATTTTGTTCAGGATTTTTGTGTATATTTTCACTAGGAAGATTGGCCTGTAATTTTCTTTTTTTTTGTATTCTTCTCTGCTTTTGGTATCAGGGCAATGCAGGCTTCATAAAATGAGTTAAGAATAATTCCTTCCTCTTCAGTTTTTTTTAAATATTTTGAGAAGTATTGGTATTAATTTTTCTTTGTATGTATGGTAGAATTTGACAGGAAAGCCATCTGGTCCTGGGCTTTTCTTTATTGAGACACTTTTAATTACTGATTCAGTCTTATTACTCATTGTTGGTCTGTTCAAGTTTTCTATTTGTTCCTGGTGAAATGTCTACAAAAATTACAAAAATTAGCTGGGTGTGGTGGCATGTGCATGTAGTCCCAGCTACTTAGGGGGCTGAGGCAGGAGGATCGCTTGAACCTCAGGAGGTTAAGGCTGCAGTGAGCTGGTATTGCGCCACTGTGTTGCAGCCTGGGTGACAAAGTGAGACCCTATCTCAAAAATAAAAAAAATTCATATGGAACCACAAAAGAGCCCCATCCAATAGTTAAGCTATAGTAATAGCTTTGTAACTGTTATAGTAGAAACCAAATCATCATGGTACCGGCCTAAAACAGACACATAGACCAATGGAAAGAATAGAGAACCCAGAAATAATTTCATATACTTACAGCCAACTGACTTTCAACAAAGGCACCAAGAAAGGACACCCTTTTCAATAAATGGTGCTGGGAAAACTGGATATCCATATGCAGAAGATTGCAGCTAGGCTCATATCTCTTACCATATTAAAAAATCAACCAAAAATGGATTAAAGGCTTAAATGATAGATCCGAAACTATGAAACTACTAAAAGAGAATATAGGGGAAATGCTCAAGAACATTGGTCTAGGCAAAGATTTTATGGTTAAGACATCAAAAGCATAGGCAACAACAACAAAAAATAGGCAGGTGGGACTATATTAAACTAAAAATCTGCACAGCAAAGAAAACAACAGAGTGAAGAGACCAACTGTAGATGGGAACAATATTTTCAAATTATCCAACAGGGGACTAATATCCAGAGTGTACAAGGAACACAATTCAACAGTAAAAAAAAAAAAAAAAAAAAAAAAAAAAAATCCCCTTAAAAATGGTCAAGGGATCTGAATAGAAATTTCTTAAGAAATACAAATGGCCAACATGTATGTGAAAAAGATGCTCAACATCACTAATTATCAGGGAAATTTAAAGCAAACCACAATAATATATCATCTTACCCTAGCTAGAATAGCTATTATTAAAAAGACAAAAATGGTAGCTAGGATATAAAGACAAACTCTTACACACGGTTGGTGGGAAGGTGAATTAGTACAGCCACTATGGAAAACAGTATGGAGATTTCTTAGAAAACTGAAAATAGATCTGTGTGATCCAGCAATACCACCACTGGGTATTTATCCAAAGGTAAGGAAATCGATACATCAAAGGGATACTGGCACCCCCATGTTTACTGTGGTACTATTTACAATAGCAAAGACAGGGAATCAACCTAACTGTCCATCAATGGATGAATGGATTAAAAAGATACGGCATATATACACAATGGAATACTATTTAGCTATAAAAAGAATGGAATCTTGTCATTTCCACTAACATGGACAGAACTGGAGGTTCTGATATTAAATGAAATAAGCCAGGCACAGAAAGACAAATATTGCATGTTCTCACTCATGTGCGAGCTTTAAAAGGTTGATCTAATCGAGGTAAACAGCAGAAAGATAGTATCCAGAGGCTGGGAAGGGTGTGTGTGTGTGTGTGTGTGTGTGTGTTTGTGGGTGTGTGAGGGGGGTGATGAAGAGAGGTAGGTTAATGGGTACGAACGTACAGTCAGATAGAAGGAATAAGTTCTAGTGTTTGATAGCACAGTAGGGTGACTATAATTAACAACAATATATTGTGTATTTCAAAATAGCTAGAAGACTTGTAATGTTCCCAACACAGAGAAATAAATGCTTGAGGTGACGGATATCCTATGTACCCTAACTTCATTATTAGATACTATGTGTGTATCAAAATATCACATGTACCCCATAAATATGTGCAAATATTATGTACAAATAAAAAGTCACACTGTACAATTTTTATTTGTCAATTATACTTCAATAAATCTGGAAAAAAATAAAGTATGTATGCAATCAAAGTTTTAAAGTATATTCCCAAATATGTGCAACCATCACTGCATTCAATTTTAGAATATTATCATCGCCTGAAAAAGAAACCCCATGCCCTATAGCTATTACTCTCTTATTCCCCCTTCCCCATCACCCCAAACCCTAAGCAAGAGTTAATCTATGTCCTACCTGTATGGATTTGCCTATTTTGGAAAATTCATATGTAAATATAATCATATATGGTCTTTTGTGACTAGTTTCTTTCACTTAATGTTTCCAAGTGTCATTTATATTATAGCATGTATCAGTATTTCATTGCTTTTTATGGCCAAATAATACTGTATTCCATAGATGTATCACATTTGTTTATTTATCGGTTTATAGACATCTGGATTGTTTCTGTCTTTTGGCTAATACAAATAATGCATCTATGAATGTTCATTTACAAATTTTTGTGTGACACATTTTTATTTCTCTTGGACATATACCTAAGAATGGGTGAGTCGTATGGTATCTTCATTTTTAATCAGTTGAGCCACAGCCTGACTCCTTCCAAAGTGACTACATAATTACACATTCCTGCCAGCAGTGTCTGAGGGTTCTCATTCCTGCATATCCTTAACAATACTTATTATCTGATGTTTTGATTCTAGCCATTCTTTGGCTGGGAAGTGGTATCTCGTGTGTGTGTGTGTGTGTGTGTGCGCGCGCGTGCGTGTGTGTGTTTTAGACAGAGTCTCGCTCTGTTGCCCAGGCTGGAGTGCAGTGGTGTGGTCTCGGCTCACTGCAACCTCTGCCTCCCAGGTTCAAGCAATTCTCCTGCCTCAGCCTCCCAAGTAGCTGGGATTACAGGTACCTGCCACCATGCCCAGCTAATTTTTTCTATTTTTAGTAGAGATGGGGTTTCACCATGTTGGCCAGGCTGGTCTGGAACTCCTGACCTTGCGATCCACCCACCTTGGCCTCCCAAAGTGCTGGAATTACAGGTGTGAGCCACCATGCCCAGCCTTCACTGTGGTTTTAAATTGCATTTCCCTAATAATGTCGATCATCTTTTTTATGAACTTATTGGCTATTTGTATATCTTCTTTAGGGAAATGACTGTTCATATCTTTTGCTCATTCTATTTTTATTTATTTATTTAGAGACGGAGTCTTGCTCTGTCATCCAGGCTGGAGTGGAGTGGTGCGATCTTGGCTTACTGCAACCTCCGTCTCTTGGGTTCAAGCGATTCTTGTGTCCCAGCCTCCCAAGTAGCTGGGACTACAGGTGTGTGCCACCACACCCAGCTAATTTTTGTATTTTTAGTGGAGGCAGGGTTTTACCATGTTGGTGAGGCTGATCTCGAACTCCTGACCTCAAGTGATCCACCCACTTCAGCCTCCCAAAGTGCTGAGATTACAGGCGTGAGCCACTGCGCTCGGACTCCTTTGCTCATTTTAAAATTGGGATTATGTGTGTTTTGCAATTAAGTTGTAGGAGATTGTTATATATTCTAGAAACATCTCTTGTTAAATGTATGATTTGCAAATCTTTTCTCCTTTCCTGTGGGTTTTTTTCACTTTTAAAAAAATTCTTAATTTTTAAAACTATTTTAATTTTTTGATCTAAATGTTTACTGTTAATTAGTAAATAATACACATATGGGGTACAATGTGATGTTTTGATATATGTATATATTGTGGATCACTTTCTTGATAGTGTCCTTTGAAGCATAAACATTTTAATTTTGATGACATCTAATTTTTCTCAATATTATCTAATATCTTTTGTTTGTGCTTTGGCATAATATCTAAGAATCCATTGTCCAACCTGAGTTCATAAATATATATATATATATATATATATATATATATTTGAGACGGAGTCTCACTCTGTTGCCCAGGCTGGAGTGGAGTGGTGTGATCTCGGCTCACTGCAACCTCTGCCTCCTGGGTTCAAGCCATTCTCCTGCCTCAGCCTTCTGAGTAGCTGGGATTATAGGTGTGCACCACCACACCCGGCTAATTTTTATATTTTTAGTAGAGACGGAGTTTCACCATGTTGGTCAGGCTGGTCTCAAACTCCTGACCTTGTGATCCACCTGCCTCGGCCTCCCAAAGTGCTGGGATTACAGGCATGAGCCACCGCACCCGGCCAGTTCATAAAGATTTATCACCTAGGTTTTCCTCCAAGAATTTTGTAATTTCACCACTAACATTTAGATCTTTCTTCCATTTTGAGCTTATTTTTGTATATAGTGTGAAGTAAAGGCCTGTATTAGTTTCTTAGACCTTGTGTAACACATTGCCAAGATTTGATGGCTTAAAACAGCAAACATGTATTCTGTCACAGTTCTGGAGGCCAGAAGTTTGAAATCCAGGTGTTGGCAGGATTAGTTTCTTCTGGAGGCTCTGGGGGAAAGTTCATTCCATGATTCTTTCCTAACTTCTGGTAGCTGTTGGTAGTTGTTGCTCCATTGGCTTGGAGATACATCACTGAAATCTTTGCCTTCATCTTCACATGGCATTCTTGCCTGTGTCTCTTCTCTGTTTATGTCATATCTCCTTCTCTTTTATTAAGACACCAGTCACTAGATTTAGGTCCCACCCTAAATCCAGGATGATCTTTTCTTGGGAACCTGAACTTAATTTCATATACAAAGACACCATTTCTAAATAAGTTCACGTTCACAGGTACTGGTGGTCAGGTCTTAGACAAACCTTTCGGAGTACACACTTCAACCACCATAAGGTCCACTCCATCATTTTGTATGTGGCTATCAAGTTTCCCCAGTACCATTTGTTGAAAAGACTGTGCTTTCCCCCGTTGAATGTGCTCAGCACCCTTGCTGAAAATCAGTTGACAGTAGACACATGGTTTTATTTCTGAATTTCAGTTCTATTCTATTGATCTATGTCTATCTTATGCAAGTACCACACTGTCTTGATTACCATTACTTTATGCGATGTTTTGAAACTGGAAAGAATGAGTTCTACTTTGTTCTTTTCTTCTTTTTATTTTTTAGAGACAGTTTCTTACCCTGTAACCCACACTGTAGTGCAGTGGCATAATCATGGCTCACTGCAGCCTCAACCTTCTAGGCTAAAGCAATCCCCCTGCCTCAGCCTCCCAAGTAGCTGGGATGACAGGTGTGTACCACCATGCCCCGCTAATTTTTATTTTTTGTAGAGACAGGATCTTGCTGTGTTGCCCAGGCTGGTCTTGAACTTCTGGCCTCAAGCAATCCTCCTGCCTCGGCCTCCCAAAGTGCTGCGATTGATTACAGGCATGAGCCACTGTGCCTGGCCCTTTGTTCTTTTTTTCAAGATTGTTTGCGTAGTCTGCGTCCCTTTAATTTCTTTATAAATTTACAATTAGTTTGCAAATTTCTACGAAGAAGTCATTTAGGAATCTGATAGGGATTGTGCTGAATCTATCAGTTTGGAAATATAATCATTGAGTTATATTAAATCTAATCCATGAACTTTACCCCATTTATTTAGATTTTTAATTTCTTTCATTGATGTTTGAGTTGCACTTCTTTTGTTAAATTTGCTTCTAAGTATTTTGTTCCTTTAAAGCTATTACAAATGGAATTGTTTTCTTAATTTCATTTCTGGATTTGTCATTGCAAGGGTTTAGAAATACAATTGATTTTTGTATACTGGTGTTATATCCTTTATCCTTGCTGAAGTTAGTAGTTCTAATAGCTCTTTAATGGATCATTTAGCATTTTTTTATATAAAAGATCATGTCATCTGTGAATATAGTTTTACTTCTTTCTTTCCAATCTGAATATACTTTATTGCTTTTTTCTTGTCTAATTATCTTAGCTAGAACCTTTGGTAATGTTGAATAGACATAGTGGGAGTGGATATTCTTGTTTTAATTGCTGATCTTAGGAGGAAAGCGACCAGTCTTTCACCATTAAATATTGATGTGGTTTGGATTTGTGTACCCGCCCAAATCTTATGTCAAACTGTAGTCCCCAGTGTTGGAGGAAGGGTGTGGTGGGAGGTGATTGGGTCATGGGGGTGGACTTCCCCCTTGCTGTTCTCATGATAGTGAATTTTCGTTGAGATTTTGTAGTGAGATTTGGCTTTTTAAACATGTGTGCCACCTCCCCCTTCTCTCTTCTTCCTGCTTCAGCCATGTAAGATGTACTAACTTCCCATTCACCTTCCACCATTATTGTGTTTCCTGAGGCCTCCCCAGGAGCAGAAACCTGTATAGCCTGCAGAACCTTTAGCCAATTAAACCTCTTTTCTTTATAAATTATCCAGTTTCATGTATTTCTTTAAAGCAATGCATAAATGGACTAATACGAGTATGATGTTAGCTGTAGCTTTTTTATAGATGCCCTTTATCCGGCTGAGAAAGTTCCTTTCAATTCCCAGTTTGTTGACTCTTTTTTTTTTAAAGTAACATGGTCTCAACACATCGCCCAAGATGCCCTCGAACTTCTGGCCTCAAGTGATTCTCTTTCCTCAGTCTCCTTGAGTAGCTGGGACTATAGACACATGCCAATGTGCCCACCTGTTGACTGTTTCTATTATGAAAGAGTATCGAATTTGATCAAAACCTTTTTCTGCATCTATTGAGATAATTGTGGGTTTTTATTCTATTGATATAATATATTACATTAATTGATTTTTGGATATTAAACCCATCTTGCATTCCTAGGATAAATCTCACTTTGTCATGGTGTATAATTATTTTTGTACATTGCTGGGTTGTTTGCTAGTATTTTCTTGAAGATTTTCACATCTATATTCATGAATAGCGATCTGTAGTTTTTTTGTGATTGTTTTGTCTGCTTTTGGTACCAGCCTTATAGAACATACCTTATAGAATATGTTGGGCAGTGTTCCTTTCTCCTTTTTGGGAGAGTTTGTGAAGAAATGGTTTGATATCAGCTATTCATAGATCAGAGTTTGAGTAGCATGGTGACAAACCTAGGATAATTTTTTAGACTTTTATGGATGCTCTAGACTGATGTTTGTGTCTCCAATCCCCCACCCAAATTCCTATGTTTAAAACTTAATCCCCAGTGTGATGATACTTAGAGGTGGGGCCTTTTGGAGGTGATTAGGTTATGAATGCAGAGCCCCCATGAATGGGATCACTGCCTTTATCAGAAAGACCCCAGGCAGTTCTCTTCACCTTTCTGCCATGTGAGGCCACTTGGAGAAGATATACGTTTATGAAACAGGAAAGGGGCCTTCATCAGACATGAAATTAACCAACACCTTGCTCTTGGACTTACCAGCCTCCATAACTGTGAGAAATACTTTTATGTTGTTTATAAGCCACCCAGTCTAAGGTATTCTGTTATAGCAGCCTGAGTGGACTAAGACAGTGGGGGTGTGTGGTGTTATAGATTGGTTTTTGGCCACAGTTCCTGGTTCCTAGCTCCTATATTCCCTTGTTTCGGTCTTTTGTAATAATATTGGGTGTGTTCGGCCTCGGCAGGCCTCAGGAATCAGAATCTCTCTTCTGGCCTCATTTCACCTGCCCCAAGGCAGGACTCTAATCTTCTGCCTTTCTGATTATGGGTCTTAAGACCCTCTCTGGAGAGGGTCCCACACTATACATTGGGAGAAGGAATGCTGGTGTCACGAAGCTTCCATAAAAACCCAGGAGAACTGGGTTCAGGGAGCTTCCAGGTAGCTGAACAAGTGGAGGTTTTTGGAGGTTGGTGTGCCCAGGAAGGGCATGGAAGCTCCATGCTCCTTCCCTGATACCTCACCCTACACGTATTTTCATCTGTATCCTTTGTAATATCCTTTATAATAAACTAGTAAACATAAATGTTTCCCTGAATTCTGTGAGCTACTCCAGCAAATTAGTGAAGCCCAGAGTGGGTGGTGGGAACTTCTGCGATTGGTGTCTGATGTGGAGTAGTCTTGGGGACTAAGCCCCCAATCTGTGGGATATGATGCTATCTCCAGGTAGACAGTGTTGACATTGAACTGGAGGATACCCAGCTGGTGTCCACTGCTTGGTGTGTGGGGAAAAACCCCCACATCTTTGGTCACAGAAGTCTTCTGTGTTGATGATTGTTGTGGTATGAGAGCAGAGGGAAAATGTGGTTTGAGAGAGGGTTTCCTAAAATAGGGTTACAAAAACATAAATGTCACAGATATTCTTTCCAGAAAATATGTGCATATACAAAGAAATATAAATATTAGTATAAAATCTTAGTGTATACACAGGTCCTCTGAAGTCTTAGACATCTAGATTTTAAAAAATCCTAACAAGAGATAAGTTTTGAGCAATCATTTCACCATCCCACAGTGCCACTCTACTTATCTGAGTATAAACTGATCAGGAAAAAGTTGTACTTCATAACAGACTATCAAGGAAATAAATTGAAAGTTGTAATTAATTAGTCACTGATTCATTCAGCAAAACCCAAGTGTCTATGATATACCAGATAAGGTTCTAGTCTCAGATTACTGCTCTAGGAATTGACTTTTTTTTTCATTCTTTTTCCACTCTATCTTCCTGTGTCCCAGCACCTGAACCCTCTCCATGTTAGGGAGAATTTCATACTTAAAGAGTATGATTTCATACTTAAAGAATTTCATACTTAAAGAGTCATTGTAGGAAGCAGACACCAACTTCTTCCACGAAAGAAAAACTCACTTTTCCAAATATTCTGGCAGCTGGATATGGGATGAGGCTTAGGTTCCACCAGGCAGATAACCACTTGCTGGATTCTGACTCAGCCTGGTGACATAAGCTGGTACTGTGCACACATTTTAGTAAGTGTGGTGTGAGTTGCAGCAGCAATGTCCAGTTGCCAGGAGCAGTCGTGATAGCAGTTCTATCTGCAAGGTCCAGTGTCTAGCTTTAGAGTGTCATTGGTATGAACAGTGACATCTGTGCCCAGCATCAGGGGCAGTGATTCCTATGTGAGACTCCACCTAGGATGGGATTATAGATGCTGCTTCTAGCTATGTAGCTTTAAGCCTATTCTCACAGACCTTCCCAAAATAAAATAAACACCAGCCTAATGAAGATAGATGATAGATAGATAGACAGATAGAAGTCCTTTATGTTTAAATTAGAAAAAATAGCATTTAAATGTGGACTTAAGACCCTTTCCCACCCTAGGCACTGTTGATCACTGACCTCAGTGGTTCCCAATCTGGCTGATCACCAGGATTCCTTGTAGATTTTTTACAAAAATACTCAGGCCTTTCCCCATACCCACCATCTCAGAAGTGGAACATGGATCCCAGGAATAACAAGCCACAGGTGAGGCTGATGCACAGCCACCTGGGAATCCTGGTCTACATTCTTGCTACTAAAAGCGTGATCTGAAGACCATCAGTGTCTGCCTCAACTTTTTTATAAACACAGAATCTCATTCTCAACTCCAGACCACCTGAATCTTAGAAAGTTGTCCAGGTGATTCCTACGCACACTAAAATTTGAGATTCTCAGATTTACTTACTTTCTAGATGTGGTGTTAGAACTGTGCAGTCTGCTGTCAGAGTGTGTTCTGATGAAATCCCTTAGCACTGAAGGTCCAGGGTTCAGTCCATGTCCTTTTTCTCTTCTATAGCCATCTTTCCCTTGGCGACTCATGCATGCTCTATGCTTTAAATATCATTAATATGGCATTAACTCCTAAATCTATTTTCCCAGCCCAGACATTTCTCCTGCATTTCCAACTTGCATATCCATCTGCCAACACAACAACCTCACTTGAATGTCTGACATCTGAGATTCAACATTTCCTAAATTGAATGCCTATAGTGCCCCCTCCTCAAATATGCCCCTTTCAGAATTTTCCCCATCTGTGCTGACAACAACTTCATTTTTCTACTTGCACAGTCTGAAATTTTGGGGTTCCTCTTTGACTCCTCTTTTTCATACCCCAGACTTAATCTATTAGGAAGTACTGTGAAGTCCATATTGAGAATGTGTCTGAAATCCAATCACTTCCCACTCTTTTCTCTGCTCACACCCCAGGCAAAGCAACCAGAGTTGCTAATCTGAAATACTGCACTAGTTTCCTACAGTTTTCCCACTTTCTCACTCACCCCTCATCTCTCAATTCTGTTCTCAGCATAGCAGCCAGGATGATCCTTTTAAAAGATGTGCCAAGTCTCTACTCTGCTGACAGCTGTTTGTGTCTCCCCCATCTCACTCAGAGCAAAGTCAGAACCCTTCCAGTATCCTCAAGCCTACATGATCTCCCCAAATCTCTGACCTTATATCAATGACTGCTGCAGCTATCTGAGCCCCCTCAACTCCTCCCACAACCCAGATGTGCTCCTGTTCTGGTGCCTTTGCACTGGGGGTTCCCCTGCCTGGAAAGAACCTGCCCCAGACGTCCTCATAGATAATTCATCTTTTCTCTTAAGGTCACATTCCCAGTGAGACCATAGACCACCCTAGTAAAACAGCCATCTTCCCTGTCCCCACACACCCACAATCTGGATCACCTGCCTCACACCCCTCAGCACCTTTTGACAGAAACACTTTCCTTATTTACTCTGCTTATAGTACATAGTCTGTGTTTTCCCACTAAAACATGTGCCCCTCAAGGCCAGCAATTTTTGCCTGTTTTTAGTTTCCAGATGTAAAACTAGCATTTCATACAGCCAGCACTCAACAAATATTGGCTAAATGAATGACCAGTGTACAGCACCTCCCTATTCTAGAAACAGTATCTTTATTAATGTAGCTGCAGACCACATGCTGTTTTGTGGCAGCTACAGTGAAACAACCACTCATGTTGACATCAATGCTGCCTGTACTTTTCTCACAAATGCTGTTCTCGCCTCCCTCCCACACCAATCCTCATATACCACAGCAGACAATTATAGTTCCCTTTTCAGAAAAAAAAAAATGATCCTAGGCTTATGGACCCTATTTTCCAACCAACTGTGAATTAAATTAGAGTCTAGACATCCATGAGTTTGGATTTGAGCCAGCACTAGGATTATTACAGCCAAAGGCAGGGAGAGAGGGTAGGTGAGCCAAAAATAAATTCCTGTTAGAAACCTAACAGGAGTTTATCTAAGGTGAGAAACCGAGATATGATCTCTAATTCCAGAATTTGATTTCCTGAAAAAGATTGGGGAAAAGATGCGAAGAATAGTCCAGGAAACAGCCCTGGAAGGACAAGAGCTGGGTGGGTCTAAAAATTGGTCTCTTGATACCACAGAGACTCCTGTGTGCAGGGGCCACCCCAGGGCTTGTGAGGACAATGACAGAAAAAGTAACTCCTACGGCTGTCCTAGAGGAGATTGGAGACTTGGAGACCAGAACTCAGATACAAGAAGAAGAACAGGCATAGTCTTCTGTCAAAACAAAACAATGAACAAGATGGGGGCTGAGGGCCAGACCTAAGCCTGAGCCTAGGCTGACCTGGTCACACAAAGCCCTTGCCACAGTCCTAGAGACAGGATAAGGCCTGGCCCTTCTCCTCCTATACCAAATGCTCTTTGTCACACATTCTCCCTTAATCCAGAGCTAGGAGTTACGTCATCGTTTCTCAAACGTTTTGGTTTCAGGATCTCTGCATGCTCTTAGGAATTAGTGAGGACTCTGAAGATAATTTTATGTGAGTTATATACGTTAATATTTACCATATTAGAAACTAAAATCACTTAAATTATTTTATTCATTTAGAATATTAATAATGCATTGCATGTTAGAAATATTTTTATGCAAAGTCAGTATTTCCCAAAGTAAACAGTATAGTGAGAAGAGTGCATCTTTTTACATTTTGTATGTTTGTAAATCCTTTTCTTATGTGTCTCATTAGAAGATTAATGAATTTTCTTCTCCTTCATTTAATCTGTTATTTTGGTTAATCTGTTATGTTTGGTTGAAGTGTATGAAAAAAAATCCATCCTCACACAATGATATTTTTGTTGCTGTTCTTGTTTTGGGTTTTGTTGGGGGGTTTTGTTTGTTTGTTTGTTTCTTTTGGTCTCATGCTATCACCCAGGCTTGAGTGTAGTGGTGTGATCATAGCACACGGCAGCCTCGAATTCCTGGGCTCAAGTGATCCTCCCAATTCAGCCTCATGAGCAGCTGTGACCACAGGCACGAAACACCACCGCAGCTAATTTTGTTTATTTTTTGTAGAGATGGGGGTCTCATTCGAACTCCTGGGTGGAACTCCTAGGCTCAAATGATTCTCCTGCCTTGGCCTCCCAAAATGCTGGGATTACAGGTATAAGTCACCTCGCTAGGCCAGGAATGTTTTTAATAACATTTTTAGAAAACTGGATATTCATCCTTGATACTACACTAAAATGATAGAAGTGTTAGCTTCTTAAAGGTTATTTGTAATGTGGAACATGAAACTATCAATAACTATTTCACATGCTGTTACATTAAAATATATAGGTCCGACTTCCACATTGAATGCTTCTTGTATAATACATGACTTTTAAAAAAAGAAACACAATTTCACCACATTATGTCTTCCAGTGTTGACACATTTAACTACAAGTTATCAAAAAATCACATTTTTTAATATTACCACAGATATTACCAGAAAAGATTGTTAAGTATTGGGAAGCCATCAGGCTTATGATGGTGGATACAAGTTCCCCAGGATTCTAATTTTCTCTTGAGAGCTTGCCTTTTATCATTGGGAATAATACCATCAGTTGATTATGTGGAAGGGACAGGGTTATGTTCGTTTTTGAGAAAGTGTCAGCCAAATATTCAAGTCTAAATGATAATCATTTCTGTCATTCATTCTTTCAAGTAAAAAGGATATTCCATAAAAAATAGACTAGTACAACTCACAAAATGATTTTGTGGACACAAACATTTTAATTTGTTTTTGTTTTCGTTTTAAGACAGGGTCTCGCTCTGTTACCCAGGCTGGAGTGCAGTGGCATGATTTTGGCTCACTGAAACCTCCACCTCCCGGGTTCAAGTGATTGTTGTGACTCAGTTTCCCTAGTAGCTGGGACTACAGGTGCGCACCACCATGCCTGGCTAATTTTGTATTTTTAGTAGAGACAGGGTTTCACCATGTTGGCCAAGCTGGTCTTGAACTCCTGACCTCAAATGATCCACCTGCCTAGGCCTCCCACAGTGCTAGAATTAATTGCAGGTGGGAGCCACTGCGCCTGGCCTCAAACATCCTAATTTGGAATGTAGTAGAAATACCTTATGCGTACTTCCCACTTACTCATTTAAGATATATTAAACTGTGGATTCTGGGATAGAGATTTAATAAAGTTAATAATTCTTTGATACTTCAACCACGACATATTTAAGTGAAACCTGTTTTTTCTTCTATAATTAAGAAGTGGTTAAGAATATAATAACTACTATTTCAGTTTGGTACCATAGCCTCCCTTCTTGTCAAGTTTTACTTTAGTACAAATAATGTCTTCATTGTATTATAAAAATACTTTTAACCTTGTGGATCTATGAAGGGGTTTCAGCAGCCCACAAGGGTTCCACAGATTGCACTTTGAGAAATCCTGTTCTGGGTAAGCTGTGGAGAGTTCTTGACTGGCCCCTTTGCCTCTTCATTTTCCCAAATTTTTCTCCCCGAGCAGGACTCCCTGCATCCCAAAACTTAGCTAGCGCTAAGTTTGCCTTGCCCTGGGCTCTTATAGAAGAGAACCTATCACCTGTAAATTGGATGCAGAGAGTGTCCTTAGTCTGGGAACAGAGGTGGCAAATGTGTTTCCATTTTGGAGCTGGGAATGGTTTGCGCCTAAAAGCACAAAATAGAGATTTCACTCCTGACCCACTTTGAATTTGCAATCTCTATGAGAAATAATATTGGCCCTTTCATTTCTGTTTTTTCCAAGATGGGGTCTCACAGTGTCACCCAAGCTAGAGTGCAGTGGCATGATAATGGCTCACTGTAGTGGCGAACTCTCGGGGGGCTCAAGCCATCCTCCCACCTCAGACTCTTAAGCTGTTGGAACTACAGGCACTTGCCAGCATGTCCAGCTAATTTTAAAAATTATATATTTTGTAGAGCTAATTTTAAAAAATATTTTGTAGAGATGGGATCTTGCTATGTTCCCCAGGCTGGTTTCAAACTTCTGAGCTCAAGCGATCCTCCTGCTTTGGCCTCCCAAAGTGCTGGGATTACAGGCGTAAGTCACCACAACCAGTCACCCTTTCATTTTAGATGTGTCTAATGCACTTGACTTGAGGCCCACATAGCACCAAGAGCAGTTATCTTAATCCATCAGGTTGCTATAACAAAAATACCCTAGATTAGGTGGCTTATAAACAAAAGAAAGATATTTCTCACAGTGCTGGAGGCTGGGAGGTCCAATATCAAGGTGTCAGCTAACTCTGTGTCTGGTGAGGGCCTGCTTCTTCATAGCTGTCCTCTCACTGCATCCTCCCATGGCAGAAGGGCCA
Source organism: Homo sapiens (assembly GCF_000001405.40). Classification (NCBI taxonomy): domain Eukaryota; kingdom Metazoa; phylum Chordata; class Mammalia; order Primates; family Hominidae; genus Homo; species Homo sapiens. The sequence goes on along the minus strand of NT_167245.2, from coordinate 1,294,992 downwards.
AAACAGCTTTCTAGAATCTCTTTTATAAGGGTACAAGTTCAATTCATGGGAGTTCTGACCTCATGACATAATCACTTCCTCTAAAACAAACCCACTTCCAAATATCATCTCACTGGGGATTAGGTTTTATTTTGGGAGGAGCATAAAAATCTCTATAGCAGTAGTGCTGTTCAATAGAACATTCTGTGATGATGAAATTGATCTATATCTGCACTGTCCAATATGGGAGCCACTAGTTACATGTGGTTATTGAGCACTTGGAATGTGGCTAGTGTGATAAAGAGTTGATTTTTTAAAAGTTTTATTCAATTAATTGAAATATAAATAGCCATGTGTAGCTAGTAGTTACCATTTTTGATAGTGCTTATCTAGAGTGCTCTTAGTTTTCAATCTCCCCCACAAAAAAAGATACCTTGTGACTCCCAGATTGAAATACATTAAAATTACCTTCACATAGAACCCATGGATTTGGCTATGTGGGTCTTAGACATATCCCTAAAATACAGCAGGCCCAAGAAAGTTCAATATGTATTTTAACAATTAGAGTGTACGTATAGATTACCAAAACATGATTTATCAACTCAAGGTCATACATTTTCAAAAATGCTTATCACCAGAGCTAATCCTTGTCAATATTTCATTGAGACTCTTGGTGTTACTGTTTTCTATAACCTGGTGAACACAAGGAGGTATATAAGTCATTACTTAGCCCAAGAGAAAGTATTTATTGAAGTTGCCATATAAAATATCTTATAGGCTTTGTAGACATATTTTAAAATTATAAGCAAATGATTTAAACTTTTTCATTTTTGAGATAGAGTCTTATTCTGCCACCCAGGCTGGATTGCAGTTGGGCAATCATGGCTCACTGCAACCTCCGCCTCCCAGGTTCAGGTGATTCTTCCACCTCAGCCTCCCAAGTAGCTGGGCCTACAGGCACACACCACCACACCTGGCTAGTTTTTGTATTTTTTGGTGAATACACCATGTTGGCCAGGCTGGTCTTGAACTCCTGACCTCGAGTGATCTGCCTACCTTGCCCTCCAAAAGTGCTAGGATTACAGGCGTGAGCCACCACACCTGACCAGGTTTTAAATGTTAAAACTCCACCTTAGAACTCTTTGCTTCTTGCTCATTCCCCCCAGCTTTCTCCCCAAATCAAACATATCTGTGTGTTTCTCTTCACTCTGGGACTTCCCTCTCTTCATATCATCTGTACCTAGATGAAAATAGATGTTAAGTTTTACAATTGTGAGGTAGAAAAGGATTCTGTAAGCATGACCCAAATATGAAAAGCCATAAATAAAAAAATAAAACTTCTCTATGTCAACCACAGACTCACAAATATACAAACATATGCCTGTGATCAAATTCAAAGACACATAAATAATTGGAAAGACAAAAGGTAGCATATTTCAATGTCTTTCAGCCAAAGACCACCAGGAACATCTATAGCTGAACAACTGGGGTTTATTACTCATTGTCACAAGAGAGAATGCACACCATCTTAGCGTGAGGATATTAGAAAAAATGCAATATAGGATTTGGTCTTTTAGTGGATGTTTTTGGGGAGAGCTAATGAGGTAGGGGTTGACTGTAGATGGGGTGTTGTCAAAAAGCAGGAACATTTCTACGACTGTCTCAATAAATCTTACCCATAATAAATGCAGAGCAGAGCAAGGATAAAGTTGTGGCTGGTAAAGAAACAGCCGTCACTCATATTAGCCAGCAGGGGGAGAGGTTTGGTATTTTGTGAGGTACACAGTGCCTTGGTTTTTGTCTGTGCTTATACTAAATTATGTAGTGCCCCTGTTTTGTCTTGTTTTATCATGTTCCCAGAGTGTCCTTGTCTGATGTTGTGTAATATGGTTTATGTCCAAGAAAAGAATAATATGGCCTAGTGTTGAGCAGTAGGACAGCTTCTAACAGTACTGAAACCTACTGTCAGTGTCAGAAGTCAAGAGCTGCTTTTTTTCTTAGTCAAATTCAACATTTTTAAGTCATCCCAATAGAAAAATAATAATATTAGAAAGCAATATGGGAAAGAATAAATCAAATATCAGACAATATACTCTGATTAATGAATATGAGGAAAAATGAGAACATGACATTAGAAATGCGAATGAAAATTAAAATCTGTCAGTTTGGCATATGTGAAAGTAAATGATAAGCATATTATCCAGAGGTAGGGAAAATACACTGTCATGAAGGCTGATGAAAAACGGGTATACTTTGGGAGGCCGAGGCAGGTGGATCACGAGGTCAGGAGATCAAGACCATCCTGGCTAACACGGTGAAACCCGTCTCTACTAAAAATATTAAAAAAAAATTAGCTGGGCGTGGTGGCAGGCGCCTGTAGTCCCAGCTACTTGGGAGGCTGAGGCAGGAGAATGGTGTGAACCCAGGAGGCGGAGCTTACAGTGAGCCGAGATCGTGCCACCGCACTCCAGCCTGGGAAACAGAGCAAGACTCTGTCTCAAAAACAAAACAAAACAAAACAACAACAAAAAACTCTGGGGTATAAATTTCTAGAGGGGACTTTTGCGAAACATGTTAACAATATAAATGGACTTACATTTCAATGCATATATTTCTCTTTCAAGAATTTTTCCTAAGAAGATAACTGCACACATTCTAAAAAATATATGTTCAAGGATGTTTCTTGAATTTTGGTTTATAAAAGCAAAATGATTGAAACAATCCAAATGCTGTAATCAATATAGGGATAGTAGCTATGAGTAGCAGAACACTTAATATACCTCAAGGTATAATACCATGTGTTTTACTGAGAGAGTCAAATTTGATCTTCAATGCAAACCCATGAGAAGCCCGATATGTGATATCTTTGTATAGACAGGGAAAGGGAGACTCAGAGAGGTTAAGCAGGTGGTGGGGGTGGAGTGGACCCAGGGAATTTTCTCTTAATGGAATCATCTTTCACTGATTCCCTGTCCATCTGGTGGTGGATATGACGCTGTATCCCATGCCAGTGAACTCTTTCAATGTCCCTGAATGTTCTATGACAGGAGGTCATGAGATACAGTGCTCAGGAGAACATCAAGGGGCAATTGATCAAGGAAGTCTGATTTCCCTGCCTAACCACACTTATATTTCCTCATTCAGCATGTATTTCAAGTCCTCTGATGAATCATGTGATCTACTAGACCCTGAAGATACAGTGAAGAGCAAAAGTAAGATGCTGGCAATTTGATGTTTGCACTGTCATGAAGGAGATGCACATTTAGCAGAACTTACAAAGAGAAATATAAAATTACTGCTGAGCTAAGTGTGGTGAAGAAAAGTTCATGGTACCATGAAAGCAGATAACCAGGAGATCTAACAGGTCCACTACCACTATTCTCAATAATACCTAAAAGAAATAATAAGATATGGCATTTATAAATGATGAATAGGATTTTATAAAATTATATACAATCAGAGAACCAAAAAGCACTCTTGGAAATCAAAAAGTGATCATTTAAATAAGTATTTCAATAGATCACTTGGAAGAGTAAATTTGTACTACCACTAAATATTAAAAATGGAAAAACAATGTCAAGAAAGACAGAAAAACTATACGAATACTAGGCTATCAGTCAAGGATTTCCTGCAACTTAATAATACAAATTCTAAAAGAATGGAAAGATAGAAATTATTTAAAATAAAAAAATTTCTCCAAGTTTACAGACAAAAATTTAACTTGTAATGGCCCCAACCAAGTTCTTACTATAGTAGATGAAAACAGACCCACACCAAGACACATCACAATGAAATTTTAGAAGGTGGGTGGAAAAGAAGAAATCCCAAAAACATCAAAAGGCAAGAAAAACAACATTAGAAGCTAAAAAATGTTGATGGAATGTCATGGAAATTCCTAGGAAAAATGTTTTCAATACAGAATTCCATACCAAGTCCAGGTTGGAATAAGTGCTAGGGTAGCCCGAAGACATTTTCAGAAGCTTAGGCTTTCAGATTTTACTTTCCATGTTCCCTTAGGAACACGGATGAAATGAGAAACAAAAACGATGGAGAAAACCAAAAAAGGGGACACATGGGATCCAGGCAATAGGAGAGCCAGCATAAGAGAGAGGCAGAGGGATGCCCAGGATGAGGTGAAGACGATCTTGGAAATCAGCCCAGATGTGCATGCACCAGTCCACGTGTGGCAGGACCAAGGGAAGTGTCTTCACAAAGATGAGGTTGGTAGAACACGGGGCATGGTTGAATATATTCATGGAGACTGTCTTAGTTCATTTATGCTGCTATAACAGAATGCCATAGTCTGGGTCAGTTATGAAGAACAGAAATTTGTTTTCTCAGTTGTGAGGCTAGGAATCCAAGATCAAGCCACCAGCATTTGGCAAGAGCCTTCTTGCTGTGTCTTCACATGGCAAGTGGGTCAAGGGCAAGAGAGAGGACAATATTATTATTATGGGCTCACTCCCATAATAATGATATTAATTTGTTCATGAGGGCTCTGCGCTCATGACTCAGACAGCTTCTATTAGGCCTTACTTTCCAATATCACTGCATTGGGGATCAAGTTTCCAACACATGAACTTTGGGGAACACATTCAAACTATAGCAGAGGCCTTGGAGGGAAATTTGGAAGAGATTTTATAATGAGTACAACAGAAATTAAGCACATGAAGGGATAAAACATTTATTAATTCCAGGGAAATTAAAAAGTCAATTCCAGGAAGGAAAATAATCCTTGTGAATAGCATTTCCTAATCTAATTGTGAACAGCATTTCCTAATCTAATTGTGAATAGCATTTCCTAGTCTAGCTGTGAATAGCATTTCTGTGGTCATAATAATATAAATAGTGAGCACCCAGCTAACCAAAATTATAAAATAACTATATTGAGAGGAGAGGGGTATATGAAAGGGAGCTATACACTAAGGATGATACATAAGAGTGAAAAACAAAACGGCACTATAACACACTATTTGGAGGCACAGATGTAACGATCAAAAAATTAGGCAGAATAAAGTAGATTGCCTCTAGGATTCAGGAAATGGTGTACATGAAAGATTGGGGACATCTGTGTTCATAACAAGCCTTGTAGAAGTATTTGGCTTTTGAAACACTGTCCATAAATCCATTTGATATATTAAAAACATCATGAGACAATTGACTAAGGAATTATTCTATAAGGAGTGTCAGAGAAATGGGGCGGTAATTGGAGGGAGACATGGAATCAGGCAATGGATTTATTTATTTTATTTTTAATTGTTTTGCTTCCACTTAAATTGCATGTTTTATTTCTCCCAATCCCAGCAATAGCACAGAAGCCCCATCATATCCATCCCAAACTGGTTTCGAGTAGGTTAAGGTTATTGGGACCCTTGTCGGAACATTGATACAAAGAGCTCCCAAACACCGGGCACAAATGTGTCTGCAAACAGATGGAAGTAAACAGTGCACTGGCCCAAATGCTTCATGAGTCAGTTTGATTTTGCAATGCAATTTTCATCCTTGAAACGGCCAGTCTGGAGGGGGAAGGGGTAGCGTGAGGGAGTGAAGTTGAAATTGCCTCCTATTAGCTCACTCTTTCATCATTAAACAGAGACCAAGAGAGAAATGGTTCCAACATTTCACCACATATATTTCTTCTTATGCAGTCTAAGCTGAGAATGCCATGTAAATGGGTCACTGCAAAATGTAGCAATTTAATTTCTCTCCAATCAAAATAAGAAAGCAGTACGATCTCACTTCTATTAACTTTTGAAGGTTTACAGCAGTTAAAGTATTTTTGCTTATTTGTATAAAGGTTAAAAAAATCATTTTTTAAATAAAATACAAGAGCAGCCAATTTCACCATCGAGTAAAAGTAAAAACTGGGATTCTTTTTTAAATTAGTCCAAAGTGGCATTTAGGAACTTAGTTGTAGGCTGCTACGCTGACACCGTGACAAACCAAAGTGTAGGGTTGGGTCTGGTTTTGTTTCTGTTTTCTTTTCAATATCCAGTGCTCATGGATTAAGTTCTGGAAATGTTCCAATTGTAAGGCAGGGATCTGTTTGGATTCCATCATGAGTATGCTCCTTGGGTTGGATGCTGGAGAGTGAGGCATGTTTTGCCGGACCCATGTCGACTACCTAGTAGTCATCAAGGTAAAAAAATTCATCGTCTCCTCCTTGGTATTCCATTCTTTGGAAATCCACTTGGTACCACAAGAGACCTCCAATTCTACCAAATCCTTTCACAAACTGAGACCCTTCTTGTGATTTATATGTGACAATTTCCAATGTAGCTCCGACTTTTTTATAGTTGTTAGCAAACCATTTCAACAGGGGCATGCTCTTGATAAGCGCATGTTCCTGCCTGGTCTCTTTGTCTGTGAAATGAGATTTATCCTTTTCTTGCTCTGGAGTTAGAGAATTTTCTCCTCTTTTGTGCCTTGGCAATGAAGAACATATCTCATTATATTCAGATTTTCATAGGCTATTAGAATTTCTACAGCTCCCATTTCCAAAGCCTTTAGTGTATCTTCAACACCAAAACAGTACCTGCCTGTGTCCTGGCTGATTTCATCAATGTATCCCTACTAATTTCTTCTTTTGAATAAATTTCACTTTGGAGAGGACTTCAGTAGATAGCCCAACAGCTTGGTTGAATCCATTTTCACCACCATAGGATATATCAACTAATTTCTTTTTTTTGAGACTGAGTCTTGCCGTGTTGCCCAGGCGGGAGTGCAGTGGTGTGATCTGGGCTCGCTGCAAGCTCCGCCTCCCAGGTTCACGCCATTCTCCTGCCTCAGCCTCCCAAGTAGCTGGGACCACAGGCACCCGCCACCACGCCCAGCTAATTTTGTTTTTGTATTTTTAGTAGACACAGGGTTTCACCGTGTTAGCCAGGATGGTCTCGATCTCCTGACCTCGTGATCCGCCCGCCTTGGCCTCCCAAAGTGCTGGGATTACAGGCATGAGCCACCACGCCCGGCCTATCAACTAATTTTAAAACTTTCGATTGTAACCGCTGATCAAACGTATCAGATTGACTTAGTTCAGTTTTAAAGTCAGCGGATCCAGCTAAAACTAGACCAGCCACCTTCCCTTTGTCCCCAGAAATAAACAGCTGCACAGCAGTCTCTGCTACTTTCTGAACATTGTTAGGTCACTTTTCCATTCTTAAACAGGCAAAACGCAAGGCTGACTGACCTTTACCGTGTTTCTTTGGGAGATCCACAGTGAGTTTTTGCAGGACTTCTCTTGTGTTTCCTTGGAGGGTGCCAAAAAGTGCACCACTACCATCTATTACGATGAATCCAGACTTGCTTTCATCTGAAAGTAGTGCTGTAAGAGCTTCTGTATGGAATTTGTTGTCACACAAATACAATGATGTATTAATTGGTTTGAAATGTTCAAAATCAATGTTAACTTTCTTGTGCACATTTATAAGTAGATAGGCAAAATGAAGGAAAATTCAGAACTGAAATGGTCATTATTTTTAAAAACCAGCAATTATAGAGTTAACATGTAGAAGTTCTCTCTCTCTCTCTCTTTTTTTTTCTGCCTACTTTGAACATGATGACATTTCTACAGGTGTTGAGATAAAACTCACTGCTTATGGCATTTCAGTCAAGGAAAGAAAACAGCCTTAAAGGCTTTGAAATTAATGGCTTTACAGATTACAATAGCTCCATGGTAATCAACCACCTAGACACCTTTTTTTTTTTTTTTTGAGATGGGGTCTCACTCTGTCCCCCAGGCTAGAGTACAGTGGCCTGATCTGGGCTCACTGCAAGCGCCGCCTCCCGGGTTCACGCCATTCTCCTGCCTCAGCTTCCTGAGTAGCTGGGACTACAGGTGCCCGCCACCACACCCGGCTAATTTTTTGTATTTTTGATAGAGACGGGGTTTCACCGTGTTAGCCAGGATGGTCTCAATCTCCTGACCTTGTGATCTGCCTGCCTCGGCCTCCCAAAGTGCTGGGATTACAGGCGTGAACCACCGCACCTGGCTGACACCTTTTATAAATATAAATTTAGGTTTCCCTAACAACTGTGTACAATAATGAAACACTTAATTGAAAAATTAGTAACATAAAAGAAAAAAAAATAAATGTTTATAAAAGTTAGGCTCTCAGACCAAATAGGTCAAAATCTTGATCTCAGAGCAATAATAGAAGGTATCCCTGTTCAACAGAAAAATTTTGTTTTTTGTGCCATGCAAAAGCCAAAAAGAAAAAGGTGAAGAAAAAAAAACAGCTAAAATTCTTCCCTCCCCACATTTGCTAATTAAGCAAACAAGACTGGTAAACAAAAGATTGATTTGTTACTAATTCAAGGCTACTTGGAGATATTTTGCTTATACAATTCAGTTAAAAAGAAACCCATAACTCACTTGAAACAACAACAACAAAAAAGGTGGGGGCAATGAAAGAAGTTTTTTTTTTTTTTTTTTTTTTTTTTTTTTTTTTTGAGACGGAGTCTCGCTCTGTCGCCCAGGCCGTACTGCGGACTGCAGTGGCGCAATCTCGGCTCACTGCAAGCTCCGCTTCCCGGGTTCACGCCATTCTCCTGCCTCAGCCTCCCGAGTAGCTGGGACTACAGGCGCCCGCCACCGCGCCCGGCTAATTTTTTGTATTTTTAGTAGAGACGGGGTTTCACCTTGTTAGCCAGGATGGTCTCGATCTCCTGACCTCATGATCCACCCGCCTCGGCCTCCCAAAGTGCTGGGATTACAGGCGTGAGCCACCGCGCCCGGCCCGAAAGAAGTTTTTTTAAAAAATCTAACTGCCACGGAAAGTGCTTTACCCAAAATTTTGGTCCATAGCTCTCATTAGATTATAAAGGCAACTGAAGTTTAACCTGGACACATAAAATATACCAAGAATGAACCAAGAAGAAATTAAAAACCTGAGCATACCAATAATGAGTAATGAGCTTGAATCAGGAATAAAAAGTCTCCCAACAAAGAAAAGCCCAGTACTGGATGCCTTCATTGTTCAGTTCCACCAAACATTTAAAGAGAGACTGACACCAATTCATCTGAAACTATTCCAAAAAATTGAAGGGGGAAGGAGTTCTTTCAAATTTATTCTAGGAAGCAAGCATTACCTTGTTATCAAAACCAGGGAAGGATACAACAACAAAAAACTACACGCTGATAAACACAGATGCAAAAATTAACAAAATAGTAGCAAACTAAATCCACAACACATCAAAAAGATTATATGCCATGATCAAATGGGATTTGTTCCAGGGATGCAAGAATGGTTACATATCTGCAAATCAATAAACGTGATAGATCATATCAACAGAATGAAGGACAAAAATAAAATGATCATCTCTAGATGCAGAAAAAGCATTTGGTAAAATTCAACATCACTTCATGATTAAAAACTCTCAACCAACTAGGTATAGATGAAATGTACCTAAATACAATAAAGGCTGCATATGACAATTCGATAGTTGACAACATACATAATGGAAAAAAAGTTGAAAGATTTCCCTCTAAGAATTGGAACAAGATAAGGATGCCTGCTTTTACCAAATTTAACATAGTACTAGACTGATTCCTATGGAAATGGATAGAAAATTTTAAAAGATTACAGCAATGACAACAACAAAAACACATAGTACTGGTCCGACCCAGAGCAATTAGGCAAGAGAAGGAAATAAAAGGCATCCAAATTGGAAAAGAGGAAGTCAAATTGTTGCTGTTTGCAGATGACATAATCTTATTTATACACAAACCTAAAGACTCCATCAAAAAACTCTCAGAACTGATAAACAAATTTAGTAAATTTACAGAATATAAAATCAACATAAAAAAACTGTAGACTTTCCATACAAATCAATAAACATGATAGAGCATATTAGTGGAATGAAAGACAAAACTAATATTATCATCTCTATAGCTGCAGAAAAAGCATTTGATAAAATTCAATATCACTTCATGATAAAAACTTCCAACCAATTAGGTATAGATGGAATGTACCTAAACACAATAAAGGCCATAGAGGCAAACTCAAAATGATGAAAAATCAAGAAAGAAATCTCATTCACAGTAACTATAAAAAAGCATGGGAATAAATTTAACCAAGTATGTAATGAAAACTATAAAATACTAATGAAACAAATAGAAAAGGACACAAAAAATTGAAAGATATTCCATTATCATGGATTGGGAGAATTAATATTGTTAAAGTGACCATACTACCCAAACCAATCTACAGATTCAATGCAATACCTATCAAAATACCAATGTCATTCTTTATAGAAATAGAAAAAGAAATCTTAAAATTTGTATGGAACCACAAAAGACCCTGAATAGCTAAAACAATCTTGAGCAAAAAGAACAAAGCTGGAAGTATCACAGTACCTGACTTCAAAATATACAGCTATAGTAACCAAAATGGCAAGCAAGGTATTGGCATAAAAACGGACACATAAACCAATGAGACAGAATAGAGAACCCCGAAATAAATCCATATATTTACAGTTAATTTCTTTTTTCTTTTTTTTTTATTTGAGACGGAGTCTCGCTCTGTCACCCAGGCTGGAGTGCAGTGGTGCGATCTCGGCTCACTGCAACCTCCACCTACTGAGTTCAGGCGATTCTCCTGCCTCAGCCTGGAATGACAGTCGTGTGCCATCACGCCTGGCTAATTTTTGTATTTTAGTAGAGACGGGGTTTCACCATGTTGGTCAGGCTGGTCTCAAACTCCTGACCTCGTGATCCGTCTGCCTCAGCCTCCCAAAGTGCTGGGATTACAGGCGTGAGCCACCGTGCCCAGCCACTCAATTTATTTTTAACAAAATCACCAAGAACATATACTGAGGAAAGGGCAGTTTCTTCAATAAATGATGCTGGGGAAACTGGATATCCATATTAGGAAGTATGAAACTAGACTGCTATCTCTCACCATTCACAAAAATCAACTGAAAATGAGTTAAGGACTTAAATGCAAGACCCAAAACTATGAACCTACTGGGAGAAAACATACAGAAAACACTTTAGAGTGTTGGACGCAGGAAAGATTTTGTGATTAAGACCTTGAAAGCACAGGCAAGAGAAGCAAAAATGTATGAATGGGACTACATCAAACTAAAAATTTCCTGTACAGCAATGAAAACAATCAACAGAGATAAAACAGCAACTTAGAGAATGAAAGTATTTGCAAAGTATTCATCTGATAAGGGATTAATAGCTAGAATTTACAAGAAACTCAAACAACAGCAAAATAATAATAGTATCATTTTAAAAGGAGCAAATGTGCACCCATCACCCACGCAGTACACACTGCACCCAAATTGTAGCTTTTTGTCCCTCACCTTCTTCCCTCCCTTTCCCCGAGTCCCCAGAGTCCATTGTGTCATTCTTATGCCTTTGTATCCTCATAGTTTTGCTCCCACTTAAGAGTGAGAACATACGATGTTTGGTTTTCCATTCCTGAGTTACTTCACTTGGAATAATAATCTTCAATCGCATCCAGGTTGCTGTGAATGCCATTAATTCATTCCTTTTTGTGGCTGAGTAGTTTCTTTATCCACTCATTGATTGATGGGCATTTGGGTTGGTTCCACATTTTTGCAATTGTGAATTGTGCTGCTATAAACGTGTGTGCAAGTATCTTTTTCATATAATGACTTATTTTCCTCTGGGCAGATACCCATTGTGGGATTGTGGGATTGCTGGATCAAATGGTAGTTCAACTTTTAGTTCTCTAAAAAAATCTCCACCTTGTTTTCCATAGTGGTTGTACTAGTTTACATTCCTATCAGCAGTGTAGAAGTGTTTTCTGTTCAGGCCAGGCACGGTGGCTCCAGCCTGTAATCCCAGCACTTTGGGAGGCCGAGGAGGGTGGATCACGAGGTCAGGAGATCGAGACCATCCTGGCTAACACAGTGACGCCTGTAGTCCCAGCTACTCGGGAGGCTGAGGCAGGAGAATGGTGTGAACCTGGGAGGCGGAGCTTGCAGTGAGCCGAGATTGCGCCACTGCACTCCAGCCTGGGCTACAGAGCCAGACTCCGTCTCAAAAAAAAAAAAAAAAAAAAAAAAAAAAGAAGTGTTCCCTGTTCACCACATCCATGCCAACATCTATTATTTTTTGATTTTTTGATTATGGCCATTCTTGCAGATATAAGGTGGTATCACATTGGCGTTTTGATTTACGTTTCCCTGATCATTAGTGATGTTGAGCATTTTTTCATATGTTTGTTGGCCAGCTGTATATCTTCTTTTGAGAATTGTCTACTCATGTCCTTAGCCCACTTTTTGATGAGATTGTTTGTTCTTTTTCTTGCTAATTTGTATGAGTTTGTTGTAGATTCTGGATATTAGTCCTTTGTCAGATGCATAGATTGTGAAGATTTTCTCCCACTCTGTGGGTTGTCTGTTTACTCTGCTGACTGTTCTTTTGCCGTGCAAACACTCTTTAGTTTCATTGGGTCCCAGCTATTTATCTTTGTTTTTGTTGCATTTTGCTTTTGGGTTCTTGGTCATGAAATCCTTGCCTAAGCCAATGTCTAGGAGGTTTTTTTCAATATTATCTTCTAGAATTTGTATAGTTTCAGGTCTTAGTTTTAAGTGCTTGATCCATCTTGGTTGATTTTTGTATAAGGTGAGAGTTGAGGATCCAGTTTCATTCTCCTACATGTGGCTAGCCAATTATCCCAGCACCATTTGTTCAATAAGGTGTCCTTTCCCCACTTGATGTTTTTGTTTGCTTTGTCGAAGAACAATTGGCTGTAAGTATTTGGGTTCATTTCTGGGTTCTCTATTTTGTTCCATTGGTCTATGGGCCCATTTTCATACCAGTACCATGCTGTTTTGGTGACTTTGGCCTTATAGTATAGTTTGAAATCAGGTAATGTGATGCCTCAAGATTTGTTCTTTTTGCTTAGTCTCGCTTTTGCTATGCAGGCTTTTTTTGGGTTTTATATGAATTTTAAGATTTTTTTTCTAGTTCTGTGAAGAATGTTCGTGGTATTTTGATGAGAATTGCATTGAATTTATAGATTTCTTTTGGTAGTATGGTAATTTTCACAATATTGATTCTACCCATCCGTGAGCATGGGATGTGTTTCCATTTGCTTGTGTCATCTGTGATTTCTTTCAGCAGAGTTTTGTAGTTTTCCTTGTAGAGGTCTTTCACCTCCTTAGGCTAGGTATATTTCTAAGTTTGTTTTTTTTTTTTTTTTTTTTACAGCTGTCGTAAAAGGGATTGAGTTCTTGATTTGATTCTCAGCCTGGTCACTGTTGGAGTATAGGAGAGCTACTGATTTGTGTACATTAATTTTGTATCCAGAAATATTGCAGAATTTTTGTATCAGTTTTAGGAGCTTTTTGGAGGAGTCTTTAGAGTTTCCTAGGTATACAATCATATCAGCAAACAGTGACAGTTTGGCTTCCTCTTTACCGATTTGGATGACCTTTATTTCTTTCCCTTGTCTGACTGCTCTGGCTAGGACTTTCAGGACTGTGTTGAAGAGAAGTGGTGAGAGTGGGCATCATTGTCTTGTTCCAGTTCTCAGAGGGAATGCTTTCAGCTTTTCCCCACTCAGTATTATGTTGGCTGTGGGTTTCTCATAGATGGCTTTGATTACATTGAGGTATGTTCCTTGTATGCCGATTTTGCTGAGAGCTTTAATCATAAAGGATGCCAGATTTTGTTGAATGTTTTTTTTGCATCTATTGAGATGATCATGTGATTTTTGTTTTTAATTCTGTTTATGTGGTGTGTCACATTTATTGACTTGAGTGTGTTCAACCATCCCTTCTTCCCTGGTATGAAACCCACTTGATTGTGGTGGATTATCTTTTTGATATGATTTTGAATGTTTCCATCACAAAGAAATGGTAAACGTTTGATGTGATGCATAGGCTAAATACCCTTATTTGCTTATTACACATTGTATACATGTATCAAAATATCACACTGTACTATATCAATATGTATAATTATGTCAATTAAAATAAATAAAAATAGTAGCCATGACTTTAAATAACTTAAGAAATAATATAATGGACCAGGGGATGAGGAAATAACATGACCCAGCCCTGACCAATCAGAGTTTCCCACACTGTACCACATCTCCATAACAACAGGTATTGGTCCAAAGGTCATCTTCTCTGGTTCTTTATTTATGAACATTGTGAGAAAGATGTCTATTTTTCTGCTGAAGCTGTTAAGGTAGAATAATATGAGAGGAGTTGGAGCTGATAAGCTGATATTGGCTATCTTCTTTAGAAGTACAGAGAGATCTGATGACAAATGTATCTCCGAATCTAATCATGTCTCTAGGCAGCCTCACCCCTGGCCTTTCCAGATAAATTTACATGTTGAATCTTTTCTTTAAAATTATTAACTTGTGACTAAAAAGGTCTTGCTTCTATAACACAAATATTATTTGTTTTTAAGTGAAGGCCAAACAGATTTTAATGTTCTCTCCATCAGTGAGCTATAATTACTAGAAGTATAGTCCTGGACATATCACTTATATTAACCTTTCTCATTCCCAGTGTTACATCTGAATCTTGAAGACATAAAATGAGCTTTGACCTAGTATAAGGATTAGGAGGTAGAATAAATGTAAAGTACCAGGACCTGACACTTGGAAAGTTTTTTTAAACGTCTCAGCTCTTTTCATCATTTGTAAGCTGCACTATTAATTTATTAACAGTTTTTGAGGGAAAACTTAAATCTGCATTAAACATTTGCAGTGTTTTTGGCTGATTGGCATACTTATATTTATCCTTTCAATTATGTAATATTTTCCCATCCATAGCCAAATTTTAAGACTTACATTTTTGAGAAATATAGAGTCAAAAGCATTTTCTGACTTGACTTAGGCCACAGGTTACTCTGCACAGCATCACTGAGACACACCTATCTGTAAAGCTTTTCATATACATAATCTCCAAGACATATAATGCTGTATGGAGACACTTGAATTTCCACAAAGATGCTGGACATTTCATCAGGACCTTATGGCGCTGGAGGCAGATAAGATCTTTCAGAATCAAATTAGCACCCCTTGGCCTGAAGCCTCACATGCTGAGATACAGAGTTCCTAGGGTCCCTCCTGAATATGGTCTTCAAGATGAAGAGAAAATGTCAGGCTATGAGATTCAAAAGAGAGGAGTCAGAGAAACACCTCCCCTGGAATCAGGACCAATTTTAGTTTTGAGATTTAGTCAAAGAAAGATATAGAAGCTAAATATAGGGCCACAATTTGAAGACATAAGAAAGGTAAGATTTCACAGTGTTAGTGCTGAGATGGGGCCAGTTGTACAATATGATCCCAGAATCTCAGTGCTGACATCATTCCAAGTTTAATCTTCCAATTCTCCAACTCAGAATGTCATATTTTCCTCCTTCACTCCCACATCACCTCCTGTAGGGCACTTCTGCATGGCGTGCAAAGAATCTCCCTTGATGGCTATTTTCTGTGCTTGCCCCTGGAGTCTTCTCTGTGTTGCACCTGTGATCACACTGTTCTATAACCAGGTTCTTCCCCCAGAGGACTGAGGGCTCCCTCCATGTATCTCCAGTACTTAGCACAAGATGAGTTTTATTGCATACTTTACTTCATTTTTATCATATATTATTTAAAAATGGTTCTACAAAGCTTATAGTGAAAACTCTTAACTTTTCAGAGACAGGAATTTTTCCCTGTCCCACATCTCCTAATCTGAAAATTTCTGTTTTGTAGAAGCGGCCACTTTTTGTTCTTCAAAAAATTAAACATAGAATTGACATATGATCCAGCAATTCCTCTTCTGGGTACAGACCCAAAAGAAGTTAAAGCAGAGACCAAGCAGATATTTGTACATCATGTTTATAACAACATTATTCACAACTGCCAAAAGGTAGAAGCAACAGAGTATACATCCATCGATGGATGAACAAAGTATGGTAGATCCATACAGTGGAATATTTTTCAGAAGAAGGAAGGAAATTATTTTCCTGTATTATGTATGAACCTTGAAGACATGAAGCTAGATTAAATAAATCAGACTGAAAAGGAAAAATATTGTATGAATCCACTTACATGATTCACCTAGTTTAGTAAGATTCATAGACAGAATGTAGAATGGAGGTTATCAGGGGCTGGGGAGGAGGAGAGAGTGAGGAGATGTTGCTTAATAGACCTAGCATTTAGTTTGGGAAGATGAAAAAGTTCTGGAGATGGAGGGTGGTGATGGTTACACAGCATGAATATACTTAATGTCATAGAACTATACACTTAAAAATGGCAAAATGGTAAATTTTATTATATATTTTTTTAACCATAATTTAAAAAAGCAGCTACTCTAGTGCTTTAAATAGCTTCTTCTTATCCTTATCTCCATATTTCTTTATTTCTTGTTCAAACTTTTTTTATTTTTTATTTTTGGAGACAAGGTTTCTCTCTGTCACCTAGACTGGAGTACAATGACATCATGGCTCACTGCAGCCTTGGCCTTCTGGGCTCAAGTGATCCTCTCACCTCAGCCTCCTGAGTAGCTAGGACTACAGGTGCAAGCCCACCACACCTGGCTAATTCTTCTGTTTTTTGGTAGAGATGGGGTCTCACTACATTGCCCAGGCTGGTCTTGAACTCTTGGCCTCCCAAAGTGCTGGGATTATAGGTTTGAGCCACTGTGCCCAGCCTCAAACTTTCCATTATAGAAAACTTCAAATACACAAAAACAGAATTATATAATGAATTCTCATTATCCATCATCACATTCAATAATTAC
This sequence comes from Homo sapiens, assembly GCF_000001405.40. Classification (NCBI taxonomy): domain Eukaryota; kingdom Metazoa; phylum Chordata; class Mammalia; order Primates; family Hominidae; genus Homo; species Homo sapiens. Next base: position 1,278,288 of record NT_167245.2, on the reverse strand, counting down.
TAACATTTGTCCATCATATTTCATATGTTTCCACTTTTTTCCAGGAGAATTTTAAAAAATAGACTTCAGTTCTAGAACAGTTTTAACTACAGGAAAATTGAGAAGTTGTTTCTCCTGTTATTAACATCTAACATTAGTATGGTTCATTTCTTACAATTATTGAACCAATATTGATGCATTATTTTTAACCAAAAGTCATACATTACTCAGGTGTCCTTGAGTTTTACCTAATAATATTTTTCTACTCCAAGGTCCCATTCAAGATACCCTATTACATGGGGTTGTCATGCCTCCTTAGGCTCCTCTTGGCTGTGACAATTCCTCAGATTTTCCTTGTTTTTGATGACCTAGACGTTATTGAGGAATACTAGTTAGGTATTTTATAGAATGTTCCTCTATTGGAATTCGGTGTTTTTTTTTTGTTTTTTTTTTTTTTTTCATAATAAGTAGAGGTTATGGATTCGGGGGGAGGAAAGCCACAAGTGAGGTACCATTTTCATTACATGATATCAAGAATTCACACTTCCAGAAGAGGGAGTTAATGCTGTTCCTTTAAGGACAAAGTATCTACCTACCTTATTTGGAGTTCTTCTGCAGGAGAGATTTTGCCTCCTCTCCTCCATTGATTTATTTATCACATCATTTATATCATTATAAACTCATCTCTGGAGGATTGTAAAAGCAAATCCTTTACATACAATTTCACAGTTAAATAGTTCAGCATGCATCTTTCACAGAATAGGGTTTTTAAAAAACATAAAGCCATGCTATTCTCACACTAACAAAATTAACAACAGTTCTCTAATTTTGCTAAACAGTCAATGCATATTCAAATATCTGTCTTGTCTTTTTCAATTGGTCTGTCTGAAACAGAAGCTAGAGAAGGTCCACACATTGCAATTGCTTCTTATGTCTCATTATTCTCTGTTCTTCTATACCATACCACCCACCCTACCTATTTTTTTTTTCTCAAGGCTTTGATTTGTTGGAGAAACTGTTACCAGAAAAACAGGTCCCGATCCCGACCCCAAAAGAGTATTCTTGGATCTTGCACAGGAAGGAATTAAAGGTGAGTCACAGAGTGCAGTGAGAAGGAGATAGTTTATTGAAAGTTACTCAGATACAGAGTAGGTGTCCTCAGAAAGCAAAAGGAAGAATGCACCATCTTTGTTGTAAACTCTTCTAATGTAGGGGTTTAATCTACATAAAAGCTAAGTTAAATGTCTATGTGTGGGTGCTCTGACAGCATGACAAAATTTAGGACCTATTGATTTAAAGAAAGTTATCCTTGGCATTTTAGTTAGTATATCAAAGCATGACTATAATAATCTTAAAAGCATATATTATAATGTGACGTCAGGACATGTGGACATTCTGTTGTCTGTCATAGGCGTTTGTTCTTGCAGGCATTATTAAGTTGTTTAATCAGCTGTAAACCTCTTATGACCATGGGTTGTGACTGGCAAGGAATATGCCTTGCTAGTTGAAAGATGGAGTTGACTTTAAAATGGTGTCACCCTGGCTCTCCTATGCTTCTGTTTCCCCAAAAAAGCCAGGTTACTTGTCCTGTAGAATGATCCACATTCTGAGTTTGGCTAATGACATTCTCATGGTATTAACTTGTTTCTTTATATGTTGTTTTTTCTGTTACCCACAAAATAATTCTTCTGATACACATTTGTAATCTTACCATGCCAGCATCTGCTACTCTTCATGTTACCAAATTTCTGTTCAAGGACCACTAAAGCCACAGTCAGTGGACATTCTGAGACCTCTAGGGGAGGGTGGAGATGCTGTCCTTTAATATAGTCTGACCCAAGCAACCTCCCCACTTGGCATGGTGAATCTAGACAAGCTAAAGAATTTACTATGCCCCAGGCCTGCACCAGCCCTCTCCTAAGACCTTGGGCACTCTCATTTCCCTTTTTTTTTTTTCTAAAGGAAGTCATAGTTTCTCATAACCTTTGCTAGTGATCCTGGACCTTGGTTGTTCCCTGAGGCTGTGTTCTCCACACTGCTGCCATCACTGCTACAGCAGAGGTGCAGAAAGCTCAGGAGAGAGAAGGGAGGAAAAGCTGAAGATTTTGTGTTATTCATGCTTTCCTGACTCCGGCGAAAGTGCTTCCTCCACCTGCAACCATTTCTGTTTCTATACTGCTGAGTCTTGTGTTCCCAAGACCAAGGGAAGCCCATTTTCTTTAAAGCCAGTCACAGTTTCTGTTGGCTGATGGAATATCTGTTGTCCAGCAGTTGTATTCCTGCTCACAAATGCAAAACAGTTTGATGCCACGCACATTCCAGGGCTTAGACTGGAAATGCTGTCCCTTGCCCCTTTGTTACCTTCTGACAGGGATCAGTCCATAGTGTAGTTGGTGTCACAACAGTCCCGAAGAAGCCTTCCAATAGATACCCAAATGTGATTCAAAGTGGCACAGGCACACACCACGGTGCCACATGGTGCCTATGTAAAGCAGGTATATCAGGAATGCTAAGCAGAGAAGTAGCAGAACACACTGATCCCCATGTTCTCATTGTACAGTTGGGTGCAATTAAGCTGGCACAATGGACTCTTCTCATGGCTACTGTTCCAGTAGTGTGGATGCCCCCAAATGCTGCATATTTACTAGGACAGCCAGGCAGAGACAGCTGTGTACTATGATACAACAGTAGTCCCTCTTAGAGGAAGTGACCTTGTTAGAAGTGGGAGTTTCTGAAGCTCTTCAGCTGTTACTGGCCTGCTCTTCCATAGCGTTACTTCAGACCTGCTGGCCCAGCTATCCACTCCGCTAACAGGTCTGTCTCTGCTAACAGGTCTAGCTCTGTCTCCTCAGCACATGTTCTAGGCTCTGACTGCAAGTGCTGACTTGGGCTCCCAGCCCCACACAGACCCTCTGTTCCATGAAAGGGCCATCTATGCAAAGTGCCCCCCAAATGCCAAAGGAGCCAATAAACCAAGGAACAAGACAGACAAATCTAGTTGTCAGTAAAGAGTGTTTTATTGGGGAACTTACAGACAGAAGCGTGGTCTTGGATGGCAGCAAGACAGGTAGGTTTCTGCACTTATTACCCCCACACCCAGGGCTTATATACCACAGGGGAAGAGTATACATGCTCTGTGCAAGACAAAGGCTACTACTGTCCAGAACAGGTAAGAATGCTAATGTGTCATAGCCTAGAATTTGTATAACATCAAGGTTGACATGTTCTTACAATAGGGATGGTAAATAAAGTGGGAATCAGGAGTCAGTCCTGGGACTGGGGCTAATCAGAAGTCAGCATAGAGAATTAGCATCCAAGAGGGAGTCACTTTTCTCTCCACATCCCAGCCCTCTAATCCAGCTCTTACAATCTCATGGACTCACATTTCCCCCATAGTCCCTGAGCCTTCAGAGAGGGCTGTGGGTGACATTTTGATGGTGTGAGTGACACATTTTATCAATTTGTTTTCTACTTGTTAAGCAGGGGCCACAGCAACAACACAAACAACAGGCGATGATATGTATGCCAGGTGTAAGACACAGAATTAAAAATGCCCTTTACCATGTTTATTCAGGAACCAAACCAAGAGGTATAGAGCAGAACAACAATAGGAACAGAAGACTATGGGTGGAATTAAAAATGTTTAGTAGGTATTTGGTGGGGCAGTTCTTCCCCATTAAACAGAATTACTGGTAGCTCCATCTCTGTTGATTAGGAACATAGGATTGTGGGCTGGGAGTACACACCAAACATGTTGCCTGAGGGGCAAAGGCGCTGGTATTATGTGTAAGGTTACAGGGGCAGCAAAGGACCATGTCAAATGGCCAGCCAGGGTGCTTCTTAAAAGGGACTGTGTTCCAGTTTATTGGTATGTGGAGTGTTTTGGCCCAGACTTCAGCAGGATCAATGGAGACCACTTTAGTTGGTAGGGAATTCCTTGCTGTCTGGAAAGAAATGCTCTATCCAACATAGGGGAAGTTGCTAGTCCAACCCCCATTCAAGTGTCTCCTCCCTGGCTCAAGATCTTGAGGAGTTCTAAATAACCTTTGCCATTGGCCTTTTATCTGCTCAGGTCAGAGATGCATCTGGTTGGACTTTCTTTACTATTATGGTTAATGGATCCATCTCTGTGGTGGTCCTGAGTCATTGGTGTGGTGCCAGCACCATATTTGTCTCAACTAAATTAAGGTTTCTAATGGCTTGAGGCAAAATCTTTGTCTAACTATGAAAGATATTGGATTTTGAGAGTGCTCAAAACTGTGCCTTCAAAATACCATTTTTCCTTTCAATCAACCCTGTTGCTTGGGGGAGTATACAGTAAGTGAAATACCCAGTCTATGTCCCTTTCATGCATCCAGTCTTGGACACCGTGTCTGGTGAAATGCATGCCTCGATTGCTATCAATATGTGGAGGGTATCCTTACATGACACTGAGTTGCTCCAAGCCCCTGATGGTGGCTGTTTGGTTTGCTCTTACAAGGGAAAGCTTGCAACAATCCCATGGCAGTGTATACACATGTTAGTGCATACTTTCGTCTCAAGATTACTGGCAAGGGTCTGATGTAGTCTATCTACCAGTCTGTCACAGGGGTGGCTGTCTTATGTATATGTCCAGGTGTATGTGGGATGTGGCAGAGGTACAGACGGGAACAAATTAAGCAGTTTGCTACCGCCACCACTAAATCTGCATAGCAGAGAGCCAATCCTGCTCCCTTTGCTATTTGGCAGCCCATTCATGCACTGAAATCCCCACTGTGATATGTACCTAATCAACTAGCTCAGTATTCTAATTTTTGCTAGGATGTCTGCCTCCATGTTTCTGGGAGGTGAATCTGACCAGTGTGCTGAAGCAATTAGGTCCACAGTGGGTTCCTGTAGACTTTTCCAAATGTCTTTCCACATATCAGCTCCCCATAAGGATTTTTAAATTATATACCAATCATCTCAGGCCCTTTGGGCAAGCCAAATTGTAAGACCCTTAAGTACTGCCAGACTGTCTGTACAGAGAACTATAGGTGGTGGCTCACGGGTACAAACCAACCATGTAGCTTGGAGTTCTGCCCATTGACTGCTCTGTTGCATTCCCATCTCAAACCAGATACTGTCTGTGGTTGTGCAGCTACTACTGTCCATACACAGGGTTACCTTGGCTCAATGCATCTAAGTACCAAGCATTATCAGGAATGAGGGCCATGCCTTCATGTACCATTGGAGACATCTCCTGTGAGGGCTCCACAATAGGGGCAGCACTGGACTCATAATGTACTGGCCCTAAGATAGCATGCAGTTCATCTCTTAAGGGATGCATGGAGAAGGCACTATGTTGTTGCATGTATGCATGGCACTTTTGTAAAGTGGAAACTTGGGCAATAGCTGATACAGGCCTGGCAAACACTCCTACCCAGTCCTTGATAGGAAACCTGTTCTCCCTGGTACCAGGAAAGCAGCAGTTATGGATTCAACTTGTGGCAAGACCTTCTATATCCCCAGGACCTGTTATTCAACTGGGAAATAGCAGGTTTCAGTACCCTTCCATTAATTGTGACTAAAATTCTAAAGGAACTGCTTCCCTATGCTGGACTTTATATTTTCATCATCCAAAATTATAGTTTAGTTTTACCTTTAAAAATATGTTTTTTGTTCTCATTTGTTCCATAGGTTTCTCCTTGAAATTTATATTGTATGGTAAGGTTTCCTATTGTTTGCATTTTGTGGATTGCACGCCAAGGTGTGGTTTAATGTATTTCTATTACCTGTATTTTCTGTAAATTGGTAGTTTGGTATAGAGGTTTGTGTACATTCAGGGTTTTTTTTTTTCTGTAAGTATTGATGGTTCTGTAAAAGGAAAATAAAATCTTGGGGCCCCAAAATTACTAAGCTAAAGGGAAAAGTCAAGCTGGGAACTGCTTAGGGTAAACCTGCCTCCCATCTGTTCAGAGTCGCCCCTCTGCTCACTGAGATAAACACATGTCTGATTCCCTCATTTGGAAAGGCTAATCGGAAACTCAAAAGAATGCAACCATTTGTCTCTCATCTATCTGTGACCTGGAAGCCCCCTCCTTGCTTCGAGTTGTCCCGCCTTTCCAGACGGAATCAATCTTTAGCTTACATATGTTGATCACTGTCTCATGTCCCCTTAAAATGTATAAAACCAAGTTGTGCTCTGACCACCAAAGTTGTGCTGAGAAGTGACACCAAAGAACATGGTGGCATAAGAACTCCAAGGACCCCTCCCCTCCACAGCGGCAATGTGCTTGTTGAAACACCAGTATAAAAAAACTCGATGAGAGCTGTGATTGGATTTAGTGTTGATATATTTTTTGTAAATTGTGGTAAAACATGCATACTATATAATTTACCTTCTAACCATTTTTTCAGTGTACAATTTGGTGGCAGTAAGCACATTTACAGTGTTGTGTAACCACCGCCAATATCCATTTCCAGAACATTTTCATCATCCCAAACAGAAACTGTACCCATTAAACCATAACTGCCCATTCTCCCTACCCCCAGCCCCTGGTAATCTCTATTCTATTTTCTGTTTCTATGAATTTGCTTATTCTAGCTACTTTATATAAGTAAAATATCATATTTGTTTTTATTTCTGGCTTATTTCACTTATAGTGTTTTCAAGGCTCATCCAATTAGAATTTCATTCACTTTTAAGGCTGAATAATATTCCATGCTTATGTGCACCGTGGGTTGTTTATCCAGTCATCCTCTGATGGACACTCGGTTGCTTCCACCTTTTGGATATTGGGTATAGTGCTGCTATGGGCCTGAGTGTACACATATCTGGGTGAGTTCCTGCTTTCAGTTCTTTTGGGTATGCCCAAAAGTGGAATTGTTGGCTCATATAGTAATTCTATTTTTACTTTCTTGAGGAATCACTATTCTGTTTTCCATGGTGGCTGCACCACTGTATACTCTCACCAGCAGTGTACAAGTGTTCCAGTTTCTCCATATCTTCACCAACACTTGGCCTAGTGAAGTTTGCCATATTTTTATGTCCTTATTGGCATTCCTTTTTTTTTTTTTTTTGTGAAACAGAGTCTTGCTCTGTTGCCAGGCTGGAGTGCAGTGGCACAATCTCGGCTCGCTGTAACCTCCACTTCCCAGGTTCAAGTGATTCTCCTACCTCAGCCTCCTGAGTAGCTGGGACTACAGGTACCTGCCACCATGCCCAACTAATATTTGTATTTTTTTGGTACAGACGGGGTTTCACCATGTTGGCCGGGATGGTCTTGATCTCTTGACCTCGTGATCCGCCCACCTCGGCCTCCCAAAGTACTGGGATTACAGGCATGAGCCACCATGCCTGACCAGCATTCCTTATTTTTATGTCCTTATTGTATATCTTCTTTGGAGAATTGTCTATTCATGTCTTTTACTTATTTTTGAATGAGATTGTTTTGCTATTGTTGAATTGTAGTTCTTTACATATTCTGGATATTAATTCTTTATCAGATATGTGATTGGCAAATATTTCCTCCTAGTCTGTGCATTTTCTTTTGATTCTCTTAATAGTGTCCTTTGATGCAAAAAAGTTTTTAAATTTTGATGCATTCTAATTTGTCATTTTTCTTATATTACTTGTACTATTGGTCACCAGCCAAGAAACCACTACCAATTCTAATGTCCATAAGATTTTCCTCAGTATTTTCTTGAGGGTTTTACAGGTTCAATTCTTAAGATTAGTTCTTTGAGTCATTCTGACTTAATTTTTGAAAAGGGTGTAATGGAAGGACATGAATTTTTTCCAGCATCATTCTTTTGCATGTTGATATCCAGGTTTCCAGCACCATTTGTTGATGCACCATCTGTTGCAGTGGGGCTGACACATTTGTAAGATGCAGTGAGCATTAATACATGGGAGCACCATGCATTTATTTACCTGTCTTTACTTCACAGTTGTTTTGAGAAGGCTTTCACTGACAGACTCAACAGAAATGAATATATATGACTTCTTATAAAATCATATTCAAGTAAAATTATAAATTTTAAAATGTTAAGACTGGAGCAAGACTGGAACATCACTAGACAAGCTGAAACATAGGCTGAAATGAAGGGTTATGTTTACCTTGCTACAAATTCTGTTGGCCCACAATCTCTTATGCTTATTGCTTAAGAGAGCCACAGAGTGGGGTGATAGCTCACATAACCAGTCCCTGGTTTTCTGCTTCAGAAAGAAGTTTAAATATTCTGCTTAGACAGAGTAAGGAAATTAACTGAAAGATGTCTAATGTGAAGTTGGCATCTACAAAGTGAAGGAGTGAGTAGTAAGTGTAAACATCAGGAATCCCAGGAGATTCTATCTTTTTGCACGGAAATGGCCTCACTATGCACTGCTGAAGGGAGAAGGTCCCTTCAGGGGACCTTCATGATGAAGAAGAACACAATATGATATAGGAATTTTCTGCTGCAGCCCTAAACTGAATTGTCCTTCTCTCTAACTACAGGTCTCACAAAGTTTTATAGCTTCAATGATTTCACCTGGGCCAAGATTTTGGTTTTTTTGATGTTATTTGTTTGAACTGCTGCCTGGGGCTTAGAAAAGTGACTTGGATATTTTGTCAAAATGGATTTTCTTTGATGGAATGTGAAATCCGTAAACACTCTGCTTTCCTGCTGTATCCCCAGAGCAGGTTGAGTACCTTGCACTTCTTCTCAGCACTTCGCTAGAAGTGGTAGAAGATTTGGAGTTAGGGCCTCCCTCAATCCCTACCCTTTCTTTAATTCAGAGGATCACAAACTGTTGGGAGAAGAGTGGTATCTTGGGCCTCTAGCTGATCTGATGAATATTAATATCCAATGTCCTGTAGTGAAGTCATGTGTGCGTGTAACATCACTTCTTCACGCAGTGTCATAGGAAAGTGGGTTCCTGGACCCCAGGTTAAGAGCCTAAGCACTAAAGGCACAGAGCTAGAGCTCTAGGAGGGGAGGGATGGCTGGGGTGGAACCTCGTCTTGTCATTTAGTCCTGGGGCCTTTTCACTCCTTACATGGTGGGTGGTGGGCGTCTGGCAGGTGCCGATGTTGATGGAGTCAAGGGAGGGAACTAGCCGGGACAGGGAAAAACAGGGTTGGAGAGATAATTAAGGTGGACATTATTTTTTCTGAGCGTAAGTCGTGGCTGGAAATCTGGAGAGCCTGAAAGAGTATCCCCCTACCCAAACCTGTTTTTTCCTTTTCCCTCAAGCCTCATTTGGCCACAGGCCCAGTGTCAACACCAGGGGGCGCCACAGACCATGAAGGCGCCCACAGACCATGAAGGCACCGTGCAGCTGGGATTGTTTGTGGTCGGCTACTGGGTCCCTGACTTAACCAGGGGAGCCAAGACCCTGTAGCCAAGTGGCCTGGATTCAACCTGCAGCTCAGGTCTTACTGACACTTCTCCCCCTGGTGCCTCAGTTTCTTAATCTGTGAAATGGTGAGGACATTACAGCATTTACCTCTGGGGCGGGTTTCTCAACAGCAGCACTATTAACAATTTGGGACAGAGAATCTTGTGGAGTGGTCTGTCCTGTGCATTGTGGGAGGTTTGCCAGCAACACCCCACTCACCCCCTCCCACCAATCCCCATGTGACAACCGAAAATGTCCCAGGATTTTTAGGTCTCCCTTGGGTCTAGAAGCTGCACTTAGGCATTTTCCCACCTGACACTTGAGTTCATCTCTGCTTTGGTCCACATAAGGCCACTTTAAAAAAATGTTGTTTCTTTAAAGATTCTAACCATCTTTTAAACAAATCCATTTTCTTCCTCTATTTCTGCATTCAGTTAATCCTTCCAAACCCTTTGTTTAGTATATCTTGAAATGTATCAATTCCTGTTCTAGTAATTAACATATGTGACTTGCATGATATCTGCTATGACCCCTAGTAGAGCTCTGATTCCTTTAGCACAGGGAATGTGTTCTCGATTCTGCTCTGGATGATGTAAATCAATTTATTTTACTTTACTTGTCTGGGATGTTGCTCCTCATCTGTAAGATGTAAATGTGGATATGGCTTGGATTACTAAGTGGTTTTATTTCTTAATTCACCTGACATTTGTTGTGTACCTGCTGCAAGTCAAATACATGGCATGGTATTGTTTCCTTGTTCACACCACAGCAAATGAGAAAATGAGACATTATAGCCAGGTGTGGCGGCACAGGCTTGTGGTCCTAGCTACTCGGAAGGCTGAGGCAGGAGAATTGCTCCAGCCCAGGAGTTTGAGGTTACAGTAAGGTATGATATCACCATTGCATTTCAACCTGGGCAACAGACCCTGTCTCTGAAAAAAGGGAAAAAGACCTTGTGAGCTGTCTACGTGTACTCTATGTCTCAGGAGACTCATATCCTGTAATTTTTCTAAATGGCGTCTCCATGTGGTCTTTCATGAATGTTTGTCTGGTATTCTCTATCCTTTTACTTTCAACTTTTCTTTACCTTCTACTGAAATTATGTCTTTTGTAAACAGCCCATGATTATTTATTTAGTTATTTATTTTTACCCCCCTGCACTATTTGTCTTGTAATTGGAGTGTCTGAGTCCATTATGTTTAATGTAATTATTGACCTCATTGGGTTTAAGTCTGTCCATTGTCATTTGCTGCCTTCTAATATTATCTCTTTCTTGCTCAACTATTTTTCTTATGTTACCTTCTTTAGATGAATAAAAACCTTTGCATTATTGTAGTCTTCTAAGTGTCCTAATTACACATTCTCTTATTATTTCTTTAATTATCTGAGAAAGCATAATGATCTGTGACTTCTTATAACCAATAGCAGACCACAACTTCCCTGACTTTCACCTACCTGTGCCCACAGCCCAGGGGAGAATCAGTGCTCTGGCTCTGAGACACAGGGGTGGTGGGAGTAGGAGAGTGATTGGATGATGAATCTGTAGCTGCAGAGGCATCTGGGCCCCTCACCTGCATTCCTCATAGATGTCTCCTCCATTGAATGCCTGCGATGCCCTCTCCTCTGTGTACTCCTGCCAGAGTCTCCCTATCTCCACTGACAGCAGCTCCACCCTTCTGCTCACTCAGTCCAATACTGTGGGTGTCCTTGATTCTTCTTCTCACATCCATTAGCAAGTGCTGTGAGTCCATCTTCAAATTCATCCAGAATCCCTTCACTTCTCACTATTTCCCCTGCTCACACCCTAGTCAAGGTAAGCAACGTGTCCATCCTAGAATACTGTACTCCTTTCCCACCATTTTCCCCACTGCATCACTGGTTCCCCACCTCTCAATTCTGTTCTCAGCACAGCAGCCAGAAAGAAGCTTTCAAAGGATGAGCCCTACCATGTCCCACTTTTCAAAACTGTCCTCCCCATGTCATTCAGAGCAAAGGTCAACACCCTTCCCACACCCTTCAGGGCTACCTGCTCTAGCCACACCTTTGACCTCACTTCAGTTTCTCTGTGTCCAGCCCTTCTGGCCTCTTCCTCCTTCCAGGAACACAGACAATTTCCTGCCCTAGTGCATCTGCACTGAAGGTTCCCCTGCCTGAAAAGAACTTTCCCAGACATCCTTGTAGACAACTCCTCACATCCCTCAAATCTTTACTCCAAGGTCACATTTGCAACAAGGCCCATGCTGACCACCCAGCACAACAGCCACCTTCCTGTCCCCACAGCCCACCCTCTGGATCACCTGCCACACAGCACTTGCCACCTTCTAACTCAAGCATTTTCTGTTCCTACTCTGCTTATACTATATCTATCATCTGCCTACAGAGGTGTCCAATTTTTTGGCTTCCCTGGGCCAGTTGGGAAGAATAAGCATTGTCTTGAGCCACACATAAAATACACTAATGACAGCTGATGAGCAGAAAGAATAGAAAAAAGAAAAACATGTGCGTGCATAATTTTCATGATATTTGCTACCACAGATAAGCAAAAAAACTTCTTACATTCAAAGCTGTCCCGGGCCACACGCAGCCCGAGAGCTGCAGGTTGGACAAGCTTGCATCTAGAACGTATACACCACAAGGCCAGAAATTTTTCTGTTTTTACTTTAATGATGTTTTCTAAATGCAAAAACAGTCATATACCTAGCAGACAACAAATGTCAGTTGAATGAATGATCACTGTAGAGCACCTCTGTATTCTAAAGGCAATATCTTTATTAACGTAGCTAAAGAACAACATCATCTCACACCAACATCAGTGCTGCCAGTGCTTTTCTCACCAGGGCTGCTTGTGTGTCCTTCCCACCTCCTCCCACACCAACCCTCCTGCACACTGCAGCGCACAGCCATATTTTTCTGTTCAGGAAAGATAATCCTAGCCTTGTGGGTCCAATTTTCCAACCCCATATAAATCTAAATCAGACTCTGCTTTATAAATGCATGAGTTTGGATTGGAGCCAGCACTGGGATTACTACAACTCAGGCAGGAAGAAGAGTAGGAAAGCAGAAGAGGAGTTCCAACAGAAAGTTACCTACGATGAGAAACTATGGGACCCCTCCTCTCTGCAAATTTCAGAATCTGCTTCCTTTAAGAAGGCTGGGGAAAAAGATGGAAAATACAATCCAGGAAAGAGACCTGGAAGGAGGGCAAAAGATACAGGGGACTGAAAATTTGTCTCTTCATACCGGAAGGACTTCGATGTGTAGGGACCACCCTAGGTGACATCCAAGTCCCTGTGATCACAGGTCCTGGTGGGACAAGGTTCTACTGAAGGGCCAAGGACAGTGGAGCAGCAAAGATGACCCAGGTGAGCTGTGACCACATAAAGCCCATGGTGGCCTGAGCACACACTGGGCACAGCCCCATCTACTCTCCTCCCCTGCAACAAATCAGCACAAGAAACACGTGGACTCTGGAAGGTTCTCATGTCTTCCATTTATTTTGTCTCTCAAATTTTAGGAATCTTCTCCTTTAATTAACCCATCAACCCGTCATGGAAATAATTTGAAAAAAGTAAATTTATACTCAGATTCTAATTTTAATAGGGAAGTAAGAAGTTACAGCTCAGTGCACCATGAAGTTGAGACAGAGATGGAGACATCCCAGCACCACTTCTCTGGAACAGGAAAGGTGATCGGGGAAGGAATGTAGGTCAGTGTGGGGAACAGGGTCATGGTGGACACGGGTGTGGGCTGGTCTCCCCACCACCTCACATTATGCCTATAGGGACACAGACACATTCAGATGCCTTTGCAGAAAGAGAAGTCAGGGTTCTTGAAGTCACAAAGGGAAGGCATGAACAAATCTTGCCTCTCAGTCCCACACAAGGCAGCTGTCTCACACTATAGAAAAAATATTCATGAACAAATTCATATCACTCACAGTGAGGGGTCACACCTTCAACAGCCCATCATGTGCTGAATACATCCAAGTCAAAGAAACCCCATAGCACAGCTATATCCACTGTTACCCCAACAACCCACACACATCAGCCTCCCCAGGGTCTCAGCTTTACAAGCCGTGAGAGACACATCAGAGCCCTGGGCACTTTGGCTGCCTGGGGTAGAACAAAAACAGAACCTGGTCAGATCCCACAGGAGATGTGGCTAGAGGAGGAATTGTGGGGTGGGTGAGCTCCCCCATGGGCTCCCAACCACAATATCCCAAGGATCTCAGGGATCAGCCTCCTTCATACTTACTTGCAGCCTGAGAGTAGCTCCCTCCTTTTCTATCTGCGGGAAGAAAACGTCCTGTGAGAGGCCAGGAAGGTAGCAGGGCCATGAGGTCCTAGAGGAACCTCCTAGTCTTGGAACCTCGAGAAGTTTCCAGAAATGTGTGACTGCAAACCAAGGGCAGGATCAGGAAAAACAAGGAAAGCAGATGTGGGTCCTGGACCAACTGCCCTCCTAAGGTCTGTCCTCAGCAGGGACCTTCCCCTGACCTGTGATTACTGGGGTCAGATCCCCATCACTACAATCATCAAGGTGAGAAATCTGTCCTTCATTGTCACAGGTGCTTACAAAAGAGTAAGTGCTGGCACACAGGGCCCAGGCTGGGTAGGCCCATGAATGTGGATGGTGCTTCCCGGTAACCAGGCAGAACACATTTCTACCTGGAGCTTGAAACCCCCAGTGGGACAAGAAAACTCAAACCCGACTCCTCACCCCTTCCCCACCTGAGCTCTTCTTCCTCCACATCACAGCAGTGACCACAGCTCCAGTGACCACAGCTCCAAGGAGAACCAGGCCAGCAATGATACCCACAATGGGGATGGTGGGCTGGGGAGAGGGCTCTGGGAAAGGAGGGGAATGTGAGGGTTCTGACCTCCAGGACCCAGCCCCGACCCTGCTAAAGGTCTCCAGAGGGGCTCCTGCTTTCCCTAAGAGACATGGCCGCCCCCATCTCTCTCCTTACCCCATCTCAGGATGAGGGGCTTGGGCAGCCCCTTGTGCTGCACATGGCATGTGTATCTCTGTTCCTCTCCAGAAGGCACTACCACAACCGCCCACTTCTGGAAGGTTCCATCCCCTGTGGGCCTGGTCTCCACGAGCTCCATGTCCTGGGTCTGGTCCTCCCCATCCCGCTGCCAGGTCAATGTGATCTCCGCAGGGTAGAAGCCCAGAACCCAGGACCTCGTTATGCCTCATGTTCAGAGAGGGGGGTGGGTCACGTGTGTCTTGGGGGGGGTCTGAAAGGAAGAGTCGGAAAACTCAGGCACTTTGCATTCCTCATGGGACACCCCAGCAGCGCCCATGTGACCATCCTGATGAATAGGACACCTGGGGTGGGGAAGGGAGCACAGAGCCCAGACACCAGCCTGGACACAGGCGCCTGGGATAATCTCCTATTCCTTGGAAAGTTCTAGTCTCTGAGCAGGGTAGCAGGGACTTCTGGTCCTGATCTGAGTGGAGGCCAAGGGACTCAGAGGAGCTGGAGTCAGACTCCGACACATTGAGTGTGAGGCAGAGAACAAGGCCCGGGAGGAAAAGTCCTGGTGCCCAAGGTTGCTGTGGGGTGAAAGGGGACCGCGGATCAGTCTTCCAGGGATTGTCTTCCCCTCCACTCCCTCAGAGACTTCATCCCTTAATTGTCCCAGGAAGAGCAGGGTGGGCCCTCAGAGTCAATCTCTGATACAGGATCTGGAAACCCAGGAGGATTCCTCTCCGTCAGGACAGGAGGGAGGGCGATATTCTGGTGGTGTTTCCATTTTCTTCCCCTCCTTGTGCGAGGCCAGCCCGGGAGATCTACAGGAGATCGAGCAGGCTCCCCATGGCCCCTGGTACCCGCGCGCTGCAGCGTCTCCTTCCCGTTCTCCAGGTGTCTGCGGAGCCACTCCATGCAGGTGCCCTCCAGGTAGGCTCTCCTTTGCTCAGCCACATTGGCCGCCTCATACTTGCGCTGGGTAATCTGAGCCGCGGTATCCGCGGCGGTCCAGGAGCGCAGGTCCTCGTTCAGGGCGATGTAATCCTTGCCGTCGTAGGCATACTGCTCATACCCGCGGAGGAGACGCCCGTCGGGCCCCAGGTCGCAGCCAAACATTCCCTGGAGGATGTGATACCCTGGCCCAGTTCCCGCGGTCAGCCCCGCCCACCGAGCCCTGGCCCGGACCCTAGCAACCTGCGGAGATTTTGGCCTCAACTGAAGATGAAACCAGGTAAAGGCGCCTGGGGCTCTCCCGGGTCGAGGATCTCTGCAGGTCCCGCAGCCTCGGGGTCGATCTTGGACCCGGAGACTCAGGGGACCAGGGCCGTCCGTGAGGCATGGAGCGGGGAGTAAGTGATCTGCGCCCCGGGCCGGGGTCACTCACCCGCCTCGCTCTGGTTGTAGTAGCGGAGCAGGGTCCGCAGGTTCACTCGGTCAGTCTGTGCCTGGGCCTTGGCGCCCAGTGTCTGTAGGTCCCAATACTCCGGCCCCTCCTGCTCCACCCACCGCGCCCGCGTCTTCATCCTCAGACTCACGGCGTCACTGTCGACCCGCACGAACTGCGTGTCGTCCACGTAGCCCACGGCAATGAAGCTGGGCTCCCCGCGGCCCGGCCAGGAAACGGCGGTGCTGAAATACCTCATGGAGTGGGAGCCTGGGGGCGAGGAGGGGCTGAGACCCGCCCGACCCTCCTCCCGGCGCGGCTCCCCGGGTCCTGCGCCCCAGCCAGGTGGACCTTTCGCTCCTCACGGCAGAGGCCGTTTCCCTCCTGACCCCGCACTCACCCGCCCAGGTCTCGGCCAGGGCCAGGGTCCCCGAGAGCAGCAGGAGGAGGGTTCGGGGCGCCATGACCCCATCGTCGGCGTCTGGGGAGACTCCGAGTCCCGGTGGGTGCGTGGGGACTTTAGAACCGGGGCCGCGCGACGCTGATTGGCTTCCCTAGAAACCCGACACTCAGTGGGAGTGAGAACTGGGTCCGCGTCGTGAGTGTCCAGGAAGAAGGACCCGTCGCAGGCTGGGAGAGGGAGAAGAGAAACTCTGCGGAGATGGGGAATCCCCAATGCTGCACCTCCCCAGCCCATGCACCGCCTTCGGGGCCTGAGACCCTGAGAGCCATGCCTGGGGCTCTGGGACTTCGCCCTGACCCCGCTCCTCCTGTGACAAACGCTCTGTCTCAATGTTCCCTGAGTCTTGGTCCAGGAGCTGTCCGAGAAACCAGGAAGAAACCCTCAGCTTGGGCCCCGTCCCTCTCCTTTCACTTTTCATCCGGGAATTCCTGTCCCTGAAATGGACTCCCTGCTTCCCCACTGCTTACCTGTTCTCCTGGACTCTTCAAAAAGAAAACTCACCCCAGGGAGCTTGGTGCCAGAGAGGGAGCTCTCCCTGGGAATGGAGGTGTAGAGACAGAGGTTTTTTTCTTTTATTTCTTTTTTCTTTTTCTTTAAATCTGGAAAAGTTGTGCCTGGGTGCATGAGATAGTATAGAGACCAGTTTGCTTTTTGTGTATTAACTACAGTGGGTAGCAGAATCTTGGTAACCCCTGAATGATCAGGAATCTAATCGGTAAAAACATGTGACTTTGGCCCCTTGATATATAAAGTGTCTAAAAGCATTACAACAGGACTCACAAAGCTCCTAAGTTTCACTTTTGCAAACAAGGTATCTGTGACTCCCGCTTGTGGTGTTTTAAATTTACCTTTATTCCATAGCCCTGAGTTTCTGTGAGTCCAGGACATCTCCTCAATACAAAGTAGCCACTGTGTTCCTATGTGTTGCAACCAGGAGTCAGTACAGACTTCATTCACCTCAAAGTTGCAAGCGCTCGATGCAGTCACAATGTCCATCACCAGTGCTCATGCACTGCCTGTTTTTAGGAAGTATCCACATCTAAGTGGTGTGTATATTTCTTAGGAACACTTAGTATTTTTAAAACCTGATTAACATAAAAACAATTAGTTTTTAAGCAGACCCACTTAAGGTATTAAAGGCCAACTGCAAGTAACACCCTGCGAGGCTCTGTAGATGGATCTATTGAAATACCATTAAAAAAAGTGTTCAAACCTAAGAGTTGTGCTGCTTTTGAATTCTATCCCTCTACTCCTTTTCCTCACCTACTGCTTCTCCAGCCCTTCCCTCCGTCCCTCTTATCACTCAGCCCCTCCTCTCCCCTTAGTCCCCATCACACTGTCACTCCTGAATTGTGACACTGGCACTCTCCCGTTACCTGCTACGTGACTGTTCTCTCCATAGTGGTCCTGCTAATGTGAGTCAAAGTGTGTCATTTCTCCACCTAAAACACTCCAGTGGCTCCACCTTGGTCTTGTGAAGCTTCTAGAATGTCAGGCACGTGAGCATATGAGGGGATACCTGGTTCATTGTAGGGACTAAATTAATTTTTGTTGACTGAATGAATGAAATATGAGTATATTAAATTGCATCACAGATAATTATAAAATGCAAAACACTGAAAAAGTTCAGATTTTATTTTATGTAACTAGTGTATATATCAATTCATCAGTTCATTCCATTAGTCTGTTGAGCCTGTGTATGAATTTTATAAGACTGTGTAAAAAATTATCACAAACATTGGCTTTAAACAACACCCATTTATTGTATTTATTTATTTGTTTTTATTTATTGTATTCATTTATTTGTTTTTAGAGACAGAGTCTCTAAAAACTGTCATCCAGCGTGAAGTGCAGTCACATGATCATGGCTCACTGCAGCCTCAAACTCCTGGGCTCAAGGAATCCTCCTGCCTCAGTCTTCAGAGTAGACAGGACTGCAGACAAGTGCCACCACACCCAGCTAATTAAAAAAAAAAGTGTAGAGACGAGTGTCTCACTGTATTACCTGGGCTGGTCTCACACTCCTGGCTGCAAGTGATCCTCCTGTGTCAGCTCCTCAAATGTTAGGATTACAGGAGTGCACCACCACGCCTGGCCAAAAAACACCCATTTATCTGTTTATAGTACCTTAGTCAGAAATCTGGGCATGATGTAGATGGAATCTCTGTTCCAGGCTTCCCAAATCTGAGTCTTCATTTTGAATCCTCCTTTAGGCTTATACAGAGGTGGCAGAATGTGCTTTCTTGCAGTTTTAAGACTGAGGTCCCTGTTCCTTGCTGGCTGTCAATGTAGAGAACAGGGAGGGCTGTACTCAATTCCTGGTGCCCACCAGTGTTGTTTCCTACACAGCCCCTTCATTTTCAAAGCCCACAGTGGAGGAAACCCCTCATGCTGAATCCCTCTCACACTGTGAATCTCTATGCTCAGGAAGAACCCAGTCCTTTCAAGGACTCTCCTGATTAGGACAGTCCAAGCAGCATAAACCCAGCCTGAAGTCAACTAATTGAGCCCCTTTATTATGTCTGCTAAATTCCTTCACAGCAGCACCTACATTAGAGTTGGTTGAATAACTGGGGGAAGGTGAATGACCAGGAGGTGGTTGTTGGGGCCATCATAGAATCACTCTAGCAAGGGATGAATCTTCCTTTTGTGTTTAATTGGGACACAGTTGGAAATTGAAGTTCAAGTAAAGTGATCATTGTGAACGATAATAAAATACATCCTCTTCAGCCATGGAACTTCTCCTTTCCTTTTAAAACTAAGTTACATGTTTAATGTCTTATAATTAAGTTAGGCAGGGGTGGTGGCTCACGCCTGCCATCCTAGCACTATGGAAGGCAGAGGAAGGCAGACTTGTTGACTCCAGAAGTTCAAGATCAGCCTGGGCAACATGGTGAAACTCTCATCTCTACAAAAAAACTAGAAAATTAGCCTGGCATGGTGGTTCATGACTATAGTCCCAGCTACTCAGGAGGCTAAGGTCAGAGGATCCCTTGAGCCCAGGAGGTCGACACTGCAGTGCATGGTGATCATGCCACTGCACTCCAGCCTGGGTGACAGAGTGAGACCCTGTCTCAAAAATAATAATAATGATGATGATAAATTTAGAGCAAATGCAAATTAACATGTAATAATGCATCCTGTCTTGTGAAAATGTATTAGTTATTTACTATGCATAACAAATTATGTAAAACTTAGCAGCTCAGAACAACAAATATTCCTCATCTCCCACAGTTTCCAATGATCAGAAATCCAGGAGAGGTTTCCCTGAGTGCTTCTGGCTCAGGGCCTCTCACAAGGTTGCAGTCCAGTTGTCAGCCTAGGCCTGCATCATCTGAGGACTTCACTGAGCAAGGCCATAGAGGAGTCCTCGAGCTACAATTGGCCATCAGAGGAGTCCCCTGTCTCCTAGGAATGTCCTGCCTTAGTGTCACTGGTATGACCCATCAGTCGTTGGGAACAGCCCATGGGAAGCAGGGCCTCAGCACCAATGTACTGAGGATGTCAGAACACAAGAGCAGGGCCTTGGGAGATTGCCCACAAGTGTGACTCAAACCTTCTGCCCTGACGGGTCTGGGCCCTTGGAAATCAAATCCTCTCAGGCTGAATTGCTGGATGATTCTGCTCACACTTACAATGGGGCAAGGGAAACCAGAAGGCTCCCAGGTGGATCTCTGGTTTCCACACACACTTCTACCCTTGTGTGAAACAGCCATGCCTTCTCCTGGGGATGAGGATCTATTTATTACCTGGGCCTGGAGAGGAGGAGAATCTTCTTCTCACCAAGTGGTATCTGGGCACACACTGTCCAAACTTCTCTGGTGACTAAAGTAATGTGTAGTTCAGTGGGCTGTCTTTTGTCTCCTTTTAGGGGTACACTCCTTTGGAAACCAGAACCTCGTATCCTGCACAGCCCAGTGTTGGGAGATAAAATATGCGAAATACCCCATTGAGTGAATCTAAGAGATTGGACATGGAGCCAAACCTGCTTCCGCCTTTTGATTTCTGGACACACATGTTCTTCCTATTGAGAACACAGAACTCTAGAGACGTCTCTGATTCAAACAATGCACTGTGTCCTGAAAGATGGCACCCACCCCTCAGAGTGCTTCCTCCAGGCTGGCACTGAGTTGTGCCTGTAGAAGACCTGTCCAGCCTTCCTTGTGGCTGGCAGCTCCTGGGTAGTGCAGATGGTGATAGGATTAGTGGAACCCACAGCCGTGGAAACACTGAAACTTTCCCTGCAAAGTGGGTCCTTCAGGCAGATAATGGGCTAGGAGCACTGCCTAGCCTGCAGACCAGGAATGTCAACAGCACCCAGAGAGTGGTGCTGGCTGTGTCTGAGAGCAGGACAGGAAAACCCACCCATAGAATCGGTACCTAACCCTGTGAAGATGAAACTCTGGCCCTTCCAGGTTGGAAGTAGCTAAATGTAGTCAACTTGTTACTTAGTGGGTAGTCATGTAAAGAAATAGTGCCCCACTAGGGCACATCATGGGCCTCAATTGCTGATGAGTTGGACATTCAGAGGTGGCAGCAGCTGGATCTGCCTTGGTGTGGGGAAGTCAGTGCTGCTGGCCCCTTACGGAGCCTCATGCCTGCCACTGTGGTTGCTCCATTCATGCACTCATCCTACCAGGCCTGGGCTGACCCATGGTGAAAGCTGGCTAACTGCCATTTGTCTGTTTGGTAGTTCAGTGCCACTTCAGACTTGGGTGTTTTCTGTGGGTGTCAGCAAGGGATTCAAGCTCAACCCAGGTGGACTGTTTTCACCTGATGATGAATGCTGTTGGGCCTGTACCATCTATGACTTTGTGGGTCACACAGGCACTTGGAACCCCGTAGTTGCTTGGTATCCCGTGGTCAAACATTCTATTGAATCAGGACAAGGAACACTAAAAGTTGCTTCTAACAGGGGGCATGTGTCTCTGCTGTGGATGACATGATCTTACTCCAGAATCCCAGGCCCTCCACTGTGACTCTCCCACTGGTGCTTGGTTCAGCTCCATCCTGTGTCTTTCCCCACCACTGGCACCACCAGCCCCAGGGGTCTGAGGGATGGTGGCTGCTTGTACCATGGCCTGGATCTGCTGCAGGGTCCTTTCCTGTGTAGGCCCCACTTGAAGCTGGCATCCTCCTATGTCACCTAGACTGTGGGCCAAAGCAAAATGTCTAGATGTGGAATGTGGTGTTGTTATAATTCAAAGAGGCTCACCAAGCAGTGTGCTTCCTTGCTTCTGGTGAGGATGCAAGATGCAACAGTTTTTCTTTTACCTTGGAGGGGACACACCTGCATTCCCCTAAACACTTGGCACTTGTTCACCCATAAAACTTCACTTCAGTGCCCACCTTTGAAGCTGTATAAGGTTTATCTTCACCTTGTGGGGTGCGTGTGTTTTGCAAAGGACTACAGTGCACTTTCTTCCTGCTGCTCATCTACTCCAGTCAACATGAAGTTGTCAATGAAATGTGCTGATTTAATATCCTAAAGGATATGCAGTATGTCCAGTACAGTCTTAAGCCTATACTATAGAGGGCACAGGTGTTACAATAGCCCTGAGGCAAACAATAAATAAATGTGTCGTTGATTCCACATGAATGTGAATCACTCCATATCCTCTTCCTTCCTTCCTTCCTTCCTTCCTTTCTTTTTTGACAAAGTCTTGCTCTTGTCCCCTAGGCTGGAGTGCAATGGCGTGATCTCGGCTCACTGCAACCTCTGCCTTCTGTGTTCAAGTGATTCTCCTGCCTTGGCCCCCCGAGTAGCTGGGATTACAGGCACCTGACATGATGCCTGGCTAATTTTTGTATTTTTAATAGAGACGGGGTTTTGCCATGTTGGCCAGGATGGTCTAGAACTCCTGACCTCAGGTAATCCACCGGCCTCGGCCTCCCAAAGCTGGGATTACAGGCATGAGCTACTGCGCCCAGCCCATATCCACTTTCTAATTGGAATGGAAAGGAATGCACTCACCAAATCCACAGCGGCACACTGTGTGCCCGGGGCTTTATTAACCTGCTCTACCAGTGATAACCAGACAACATAAAAGCTGCAATTATAACTCCTACTTGGCCAGACCTGGAGTAATCTCATTCATTCTTTAGGCCTTACCAGTTTCCCTCAGGGACAGGTTGCTGGATTACATAGAGACAATAGACAGCCCCAACACCACCCCACATCCTTCAGCTCTCTAATGTTGGTGCGACCCCATAATACTTTCAGTGTCTTCCACAAGACCCACCCTGGGACACACTATGGTTTTTGATTTGGCCAGGATGTGGGCAGTGTCAGAGGTTTCCGTTTGGCTTTCAGCACAATGAGAGTCCTTACTCCACAGACTAGGGACCCAGTGTGGGGGTGACTCCACTTAGCAGTGCAGCAGTGTCAATCATGCACTCAGGGAATTGAAAGATATCCAGCGTTGGGTCTGTTGGCCCAGTGGTCCCATTGTGGGCCATAATTTGTCCAGGTTTACTCCCTGGCCTCCATAAGCCCCACTGTGATGGGAGACATGAGTGCTGTGGGCATCTGGGCATCAATGTCAGCTCACACCCAGTGTCAATAATCCCTCCAGTTCTGCGTGTTTCCTTTCCCCAGTGTACAACCACCCAAGTAAATGTCTATAGGTTCCTTTGCCAAATGATTGAGGGAATTGTGCCAGCATATACTTCCACAGGGTTGCAGGGTCTTCCTCCTAGGGATATGGACTCCTCCTCTGTCACTGAGATCTGAATCTGAATCTTGGCTGAGGTCTAGGCATTGAGGATGGGATCATGACTTTGTATTGGGTCAAACACCTTCACCCTCCTGCTCCTCAATTCTTTCATTCCTATCATAGATATCAAGCAGCGCCCTTGTTGGCTGCCTGTCCTAACCCTGGGACACCACCCTCTATTAACCTTCCCCACATTCCCTGCAACTTGAGTCCTCCTGGCTGCTACTCTGAAGTTGCCATAGTAACCATGCCCTCTGCTTTTTCAGGTCACTGCCACCACTTCTTCTCTGTCTCTTCAGGGCCACACTCTCCCCAGGGATATGGATAAATGCAACTCTGGGACCATCTTTATTACCATCACCCGCAGCCTGCAGAGGACAACACCCCTATACTTAGTGATGCAGGTCCCTTTCACCATCATGTTCCTGAGGCTCTGGTGGAAGGTTGTGTCCTCTGGGCCCTCTTGTGGAGCATGGCCCTGGTGGGCCTTCACCATGCCCACTTCCCTCAGCCTCGTTATTCCTTCCTTTACATGTACCAGGGCAACTAAGACATGTCTACCTTGTTGAGAGTTGGGCATCTTTTTTTCCAATCTATATGGATTCACCCCAGCGGTGGGTTTAGCTCCACTTATCAAAGTCCTGGGGTGTTTGACAAACCCATGCCTTGAGAAAGTGCCTCCAAGCCAAAGGATTTTTATTCATCCAGCCTGAAATTCTGGTTTCTTGATCAAACGCCCTCAAATTCCAATCCCAGAAGTGCTCCTTGGGCTCCTGTGGGGAAATGGCGGCTAATTCCTGCAAAGCTGCTGAGTAGGATTCCCGCAGAATCACGGGGGTGAGGCTTTTGCAGCATCTTCCAGCGTAGGAAGTGGGAATCATTATTAGATAATGGTGAGCCTCCTCTGCATTCCCAGAGGGTCCTGGAGGGCACCCATCGGATATCCTGGTTCCAGTTTCCAGAATCTCAGGTTTCCCCACCAGGACCCTGACTTTCCTGTAACAGGCCTGCTTTGGCTGAGTGTCAGACATGTCTGGAGCACTGTGGCCCTCGTAATGATGTCTTCAGCTGCCATTCCACGCTATCTGCCCTTTCGCTACAGGAGATAAAGGCCTCTCCATGAGACACTGCAGAGGCTGTCACCTGTAGCCAGTGACAGCTGTTAACAACCCGCAGATTCTCATGATCCTTTTATAGGGTATCAACGCAGCCAAGCAGTAACCACCCAACTCCTCTGTCTTTGTAGGTTTCCCCCAACCTCATCATTATTGTGTAGGGCATTCTATCACCTCACCTGCCATAGCTTCCCCTAACCAGGGCATCTTCTCAGCTCAGCACTGAGGAGACCACAGCACCTCAGCTGCACCTTATGCCATGGACTTTCTGTGTCCCCCACCAACCCGGGTGGCATCCTCTTGGCCTGCCAGGCAGTGGGCAAGATTATTTCAAATTCCCATTTTTGCCTGTTTTCATGGGTCACCCTTCATACCGCTTGGGTTAGTTAGGGTCCCCTGAGGAGCAGAGCCCAATACGGTAGTAAATGTGCAAGGATTTATTCAGGGAAATACTTGTGAGAGAAATTCAGGAGAGAGACAGAAAACACTGGGAGAGCCATCAGACCACACTGCAACTCTGAGCCCCAGTGAAGGAGAGAGGGCAGGAAGTTCAGCTGGAAGCATCCTAGACCCTGTGCAGGCTAAGGGAAATTTAGTAAAGGAGGCAGGGAGCCCTGGGGCTGCAGTCAGCCTTCAGAGGAGAAATATTCCTGCCTTAGTTTCTGCCCTGCTTTCCTCAATCATTGGCTGGAAAAGATCAGGGGGCAGGTGTGGGATCAGAGCAAATGTGGCAATAGATTTCAAGCTTCAAGAGCTGGGGTCATCATCGATTCTGCTTCCTGTAGCTGAGGGGCTGGGATGTGCATTCTCATGACTGCCACAATGATCCAGTGGGGAGAGAGGGAAAAAGTTGATGATAAAGATAAAAAAAGATACTAGTTGATGAACTGACAACTTTAAGTAGATGAGAAGGGATGATGTTTGGGGCACCAGAAGAGGGACTGGCTCTGACTGGGAGCAGAATTGTTAACCCCCAGCAATCCCTCCCGTGGTAAAATGCCTGACATGTGGTGCAGCTGCAAATGCATGAGCAGACAGTGGTGGAATCGGGGAAGTTGTCTTCTAATGTGTTCAGTTTTCTCAGTGAGGTAGGAGGCAAGGTTGTCAGCTGAGGTAAGAATGGGGAAGAAGGGTTGGATGTGTGAGCACAGAGAGAAGGTGTCTAGGAGTCACCCAGGCCAAGAGGAGGCTGAGGGTGAACCACGTAGGGAGAGGGTGATTGCTGGCCACGTCAATGGTAGGGGCTCCCCATGAGGTTTGGAATCTTAAAGAGACCAGTCAGCATGTTGTGTGCTGCTGTCCAGCCTCCTGCAGCTCATGGGGCAGGTGCAGCATAGACAGAGGTGGAACCCACCAGCTGTGTAGTTTTGCCAGGTGAGTATGACAATGCAAGGGAGAGGCAAGGGAGGGATTGAAATTATTTACTGTAGAATTCAAAATGGGAGAAGAGGGAGGAGAGGACACCAAGGGTGAGTGACAGGGAGTAGATGGCAGGATCACTCAATTGGGAATCCCAGTGGGCTGGAAGGATTGTTGGAATTGATGTACCACAGGGTGGACTCCAAGCCTGGAATGCAGGCACATAGGAAATGAGTGGTTCATTGATATTACATCACAGCATATGATAAAATGATAGTGTCTGTGTCATCAGAGCCTGTGGCCACCTTGCAAGGGGATGAGTGGAAAGATGGCCAGAGAGTGGGAAGTGTGAGATTGAGAGTATGGAAGGGCTGGGGTTCTTGGCCGTGATGAGGCCTAGGGGATGACAAGGGCATGAGATTCAGGCAGAGAGAGGAGAAGGTCATGGAGGAGAGGAGTTACAGGATCTGAGAGTCCAGGGAGCAAGGGCATCTTCTCTGCTGTATAGGTGTCTGTTGCTGCCATAAAAATTACCACAAACCAAGTGGCTTTAAACAGCACCTAATTATCATGTCACAGTCATGTGGGTTGCAAGTCCACACAGTCTCATGGGGCTAAGATCAATGTACGGGAAGGCCTGCATTCCTTCCTGGAGACTGGGGAAGAATCCACTTCCAAGCTCATTCAAGTTCTTGTCTGAATTCACTTCCTTGCAGATAGAACAGAGATTTCCACTTCCTTGTTAAGAGCCACCCTTAGCTCCTAGAGTTTTCTCTCAGGTACTCACACATGGCGCCTAAGGCACATCCAGTCCTCCTGCTTGGAACGTCTGACCTCCTCTCTCCAGCTTCTCCTCTGTTTCCTCTTCTGCAGAATCTGACTCCAGCCAGGGCAGTTTCTCTGCTTTTAATGGCTCATGTGATTTGATTGGGCCCACGCAGATAGTCCAGGATACTCTCCCTATTTTAAGGTCCTTAATCTTCATTACATGATTAATGTCCCTTTTGCCATGCAATGCAACCTATTCACATGTTCCAACGATTAAGCCTGGACATCTTTGGGGACCATTACTCAGCCCACCACATCTGCGTATGTTGAAGTCACCAAGAGTCAAGGAGACGCACTGCTGGAGAGGGTGACAGTGAACCAGGAGCTACAAGGGTCAGGATTAAGAGGAATGGCTTGGGGCACAAAGGGAATGGCTACAACATGGGGAATGGGGCCCTAATCTGCTGACAGCTTAGGGGTTTAGGGAGGAGGGAGGGAGAAAGGTGTGAGAACCACAGTGAGGAGCAAGGACCCCACCTCACCTCTGAACCCAGGGGTACAAGTCCCTGGGAAAACTCCCCCATGTGGGAGGACTTTGGAGGGGGTCGTGTCCTCAGGGAGACCAGGTTGCTGCTGTAGCTGTGAGGTGCAGGAACATCCTGAGAGAGGGTGTGGAGGTTTTGCTAATCTTTTTGCTGGGGGAGGGTCTTGCCTCAGTGTTGACTATTGGCTGATCAGGAGGGTGGTTGCTAAAGGCTGCTGTGGCAACTTCTTTAGATATGACAATAAAGTTTGTGGCATGGATTGTAAATCGGGAATCAGTACTTAAGTAAGGTCAATATGAGTTTTCAAGTCAGGTGGACCTGAATATGAACCCTCCAGGCCCTTCCACCAGCTAGCTATAGAGCCCTGGGCACATCTGGCCCACAGTTGGCCCTGACAGACACTTGCCCAGTGAGTGAGTGCTGAATGAGCCCATACGAGTCAGTTTCCTCATCTGCAAACTAGTGATGTAATTCCTGCCTTGCCAATTCAGAAGAATAAGTGAGAAGAAACCCAGTGCCAAGAAAAACAGACACAAGACCTGTGGAAGGCTGGGCACCAGTGCTCTAAAGCAAGCTCTGCCTAAACTGGCAGGATCATTTTTCACATCAGAAACAGGAATTGGTCTGGATTCTGTCTGGGACCAGGCTGAGAGGGAGGTGGAGGCAGCAGAGCAGGGCAGGGGTGGGGCCTATGCAGCACCAGGTGCTGAAGCAAAGCCAAGGCCTGGAGGGAGCGAACTCTTGGTGTCTTCTAGGCAACTCAGACTGCTCCCTGCCTCAGCTACCATGGTCCTTTCTCTTCCAGGATCTCTCGGTGCTGTTGTCTTCACCTCCTCCTGCCCTCCTGGTCCCTAGCTCTCCAGGACTCACAAAGATGCTGCTCTGAAAACCCCAAGGCAAGCGTGGAAGAGTAGAACAGCTCCAGGGACAGTGGGAAGATGAGGTCACCCCAGCATGTTGACGGACACCAAGGGTGGGGGTGGAGGACGTGAAGGGGATCAGCACAGGAGTCAGGGGAAATCCTCTAAATCCCACCCTGCACCACCCTCACCCCTGCAGCTCCTTGCCTAGTTCCAGCTCTGAGCTCTCAGCTCCTTCCCAACCACACCCCAGCTCAGACCTCAGGGCTCTCTCTCCCCACCCCCTCCAGAGCAGCACAGTCCACAGAGCCCTTGAACAGAAATTCCCCCTCATCTAACAGTTAATTATTTCTTAGCGGAGAGGGACAGCCGGTCCTCTCTTTCCAGTGACCCCATATCCTTGTTCAAGGTATCCAGTTATACTCCCTGAGCCAGGGATCTCTATTTGCCCCCCAGAGGCCTATGCCCAAGACAAGGGGCTCCCTGGGCTTCTCAGTACAGGAGGCCTTAAGCTAATGGGCTAGAAAAAGGGAAAGGGAGGTAGAATTCCTCATTTACAGCCAGACCCTGCAATACAGGTTCCAAGGGCCTCAGCCCCCTGCCCTGGCTGATGCTCCCTCCACCACTCCCCCTCACCAGGGCCATGAGCCCCCAACACAGCTGAGCTGGCCCAAGCTGAGGAGTTGCTGGAGCTGGACCAGGCCCTGCTGGAAGGGCAGGAGGGGGTCAGGGGCCCAGGCCCTGGTGCTCAAGGTCTAGAATTTGAAGGAATAGATGAGGAGGCACCAAGAAAGCCTGGGTGGAGACACTCAAGCTTCCCACCAGTGCCCACAGCACCCTCCATCCCTGGAAATACTGCGCACCATCCACCAGGAGCCCCAG
Source organism: Homo sapiens (assembly GCF_000001405.40). Classification (NCBI taxonomy): domain Eukaryota; kingdom Metazoa; phylum Chordata; class Mammalia; order Primates; family Hominidae; genus Homo; species Homo sapiens. Next base: position 1,249,896 of record NT_167245.2, on the reverse strand, counting down.
GATCAGAAACATCCCAGCCTCTCTCAGGCCAGATAAAGCAGAAGAGACCCCAACAAAGGGCCGGAAATAGGCAGGTAGTTGGGGAGCCAGGGCTCTGCAGTCCGTCCCCCTTTGACCTCACAGCAGGGCATCCAGGCCTTACAGGAATTTACCCTGGACCATGCCCTAAAATAATCTTACCCCAAATACAATAAAGGGAGAGAGCACCCACACATAATGCAGATGCACTTGTGTTTCATGTTTAGTTACATTAAAAATTCTGACGATCAGGAATGATGGTTCGGGAGTGGTGCTGATGCAGAAGAGGAAAGCCAGGGGGTGGTGGAGGCTGTCAGGTGTGGGGGCAGCAGGGTCTCCTTCACCCACACCCTGCTGTCCTCTCCTGAAGGGCAGATGGTCACATTCCAGAATGAGCGAGTCTCCTACTGCATCTGTTCAACTGAGAAGGAGACATGGCACAGTGAGAATAAGGCATGAAAGGACAAAGCAAGGCAGGAACACACAGCACACATGCAGATGCTGGTGTACTGCCTGGGTTCAGAGGATGGACTTGGGCGTGGTGGAAGAGATGTAATATGAGAAAAGGCACAGACCCCACATAGAGGGCAGCAAAACGTCCCAACACAGCATCAACGGCCAGGGGGCATGAAGCAGTCAATTGTTCATTATGCGTTAAGTGCCCATGACCTACATGATGGGATTGAAGACACAGTAAGGAATAGGGAGGAACTAAGGGTTTCATGAAATCAGCACTCACTGTGGAGGAGACGTCTGTCTCAGCAGGTAGCTCCTAACACTGAACTTAAAGTGATGCTGCCCATCACTGAGGATCCTGGCACAATTCTCATCCGACACAAGCCCCGTTCCAAACCAGCCTGCTCTAGTCACCTGGAAGGAGACAGAGGTTAGGACTAGAAGACCCCAAAGAGGGAAGACAGCCAGAGGGAGGAATGAAGAAGTGAAGTGTGAAAAGATACAGAAAATAAGTGGGTGGGAGAGTGGGTGTCCCTCTGTGTATGGAGCTTACCTGATTCACGTAGGTCTCAGAATCTTCAGGCATGTCACAGGTAAAGGCAGTGTTCACCTGCTCCATGTCCATGCCTGGGCAAAATAGGGTTGGTAGCCAAAGAATTGGCCTTTAAAAATCTTTTGGGGTCATTCTCAGACAAGTACAGAAGAGCAAAAACTGTTAGTCACCTGAGGTGCATTCTCCTTCTCAGGTTCAGAAATGAACTACATGTAAAAGGAACCAAAGGCTGTAATTCTCATGGCACCCAGAAAACTGGACTAGGGACCTGGAGAGTCATGTGCCTGTCATTGCTCCACCACTCACGAGCTGTGTGACTTCAGGAGAAGCTCTCTACTCATAGGGCCTCTGATTCATCTGTGAATCATGGACAAATGCCTCCATTCTAGCAACCTTACTGAAATGCAGGGAGGACCAAGTGATCAATGCGGAGGAAAAAAGCAAAGTGATGACATTTACTCCTAGACAAGACTCTTTAGGAAAATGCACTTTAAAAGGAGGAGAAAACATAGTACCTGCCATCCCCTGCCAAAAAGCCTCTTTGGTTTAGTAATTATGATTGTTCATCATCTTTCTATAAAATTAGGGCAAAACTAGCTCACTCAATGTCTCAAATAAATTAAACACAGTTTGTGATTCTATGTCCACAACTTTTGCACTGTGTGAAACTGAAAAGAAATGGGAACACATCCATGTTTGTGTGGTGGCCAGGAGACCCACAAAGGCTTGGAAATGACCCTGTATCATCTATTTTCCATTGACTCACTCTATGTTTTGGAATCCCAGGTAATTCATATTCTTAAAAAGTCTCATGTTCATACATAGGACAGAGTAGAAAAGGTAATATTTCTGTTTTAATTTGCTAGGGCTACCATAACAAAGTACCACATGCTGGGTGAGTAAAATAATAAATATGTATTGTCTCACAGTTCTGGAGGCTACAGGTGCAGGTCAAGGTGCTGCAGGGTTGCTTTTTCCTGAGGCCTCTCTCCTTGGCTTGTAGATGGCCACTTCTGTCTTCTCAACATAGGACTCCAACATATGAATTTCGGTTGGGGAGGGACACAATTCGTCTCATAACAGCGTGGATCATCCTTGGTAGTGGATATTCTAAAAAATAAAAGAGAGTATATCCCTTTGGCTTGGTGCTTTCTCTTGGTTTTCTCAATTTTTGGTCTTGCAATAAGAACAAAAAAGAACAAGAACCAACGTTTAGTTTTTCCCAGAAGGTGAACCCTCCCTACATCTGGGTAACCCCAGACCCCAAGAAGAGGTGCTATGCAGTTCTCCAGAGTCTTACTTTCTCCAGGAATTCTGTTTCTGCCTTTCTAACTGGGGAGAAGATTCTCTCAGGAGAGCCACTTCTTCTGATGCTGTATGGGCTTCATTCTGCTTGAACTTACAAAGTGGATCTTAATAAAAAGGAAATATTTGCCAATTTTTATCATGGTCATATTTTTGTACTTTTTAAAATGTCCCATATTGTGTTGAGTTTATTTTAAAAATATTTTTTAAAGGTAATACATAACATTTTATATGTTTATGGGGCACATGTGATCATTTGATACATACACAGAATGTGGAATAATCAAGTCAGGGTGTTTAGGGAATCCATCACCTCAAGCATGTATCATTTCCTTGTGTTGGGAACATTTAAAATCCACTCTTCTAGCTGTTTTAAATATACATAATTGTTAGCTTTAGTTGGCCTGCTGTGCTATAGAACATTAGAACTTTTTTTTTTTATATAACTGTACATTTGTACCCATTAATCTACCTCTCTACATCTTCCCACCCCTACATTCTTCCCAACCTCTGGTAATTTTCATTCTACTCTCAACCTCCATGAGATTAACGTCTTTAGCTCACACATGTGAGTGACAACATGTGATATTTGTGTTTCCTTGCCTGGCTCATTTCACCTAACATGACCTCTGGTTCCATCCATGTTGCTGCAACTGACAGGATTTCACTCTTTTTTTATGGCTGAATTGCATTCCATTGTGTATATACTACAGTTACTTTATTCATTCACCCATTGATAAATTCACCATTGATTTCACATCTTTGCTATTGTGAATAGTGCTTCAATAAACATGGGTGTGCAGGTACTCTTTTGATATATTGACTTCATTTCCTTTGGATAAATACTCAGAAGTAGAATTGTTGCATCAGATAGTAGTTCTATTAATAGTTTCAGTTTTTTTGAGAGATCACTCTACTGTTTCCCATAATGGCTGCACTAATTTACATGACCACCAACAGTGTATAACATTCCCCTTTCTCCACATGCTCACCAACAGCTATTATTTTTTATTTTTTAATAATAGCCATCTTAACTAGGGTTAGGGTAAGATATATCTCATTGTAGTTTGATTTTCATTTTCCTGGTATTTAGTGATGTTGGGTGTTTTTCACACACCTGCTGGCCACTTGTATGCCTCCTCTTGGGGAATGTCTATTCAGATCCTTTGTCCACTTTTTAATTGGATTATTTGTATTTTTTACTGCCAAGTTTTTGAGTTCCTTGTATATTCTAGATATTAGTCTAGAATATACTAATTGGATGAATATACTGGTTGGTTGAATACTTAGTAAATATTTTCACGATTCAACAGGTTATTGCTTCATTCTGTTGGATGTTTCCTTTGCTGTGCAGAAGCTTTTTAGCTTAATATAGTCTCATTTGTCTATTTTTACTTTTTTTGCCTGTGCTTTAGAGGTCTTAGCCATAAAATCTTTGCCTAGACTAATGTTTCCCATAAGTTTTCTTCTAGTAGTTTTACAGTATTGGGTCTTACGTTTAAGTCTACAATCCCTTTTGAGTTGATTTTTTGTATATGGTGAGAGACAGGGGTCTAGTTACATTCTTCTGCATCTGGTAGCATTTTCCCAGCACCATTTATTTAAGAGACTGTTCTTTCCCCAGTGTATATTCTTGGTTCCTTTGTCAGAGGAACTCCTTTGAGAGTTCTCATTAAGAAGCAATGTTTAGTTTCACCAAATGCTTTTTCTGCATCTATTGAGATGATAATATGGTTTATGTCCTTCATTCTGTTGATGCGGTATATGACATATTTTGATTCACATATGTCAAACAATCCTTGCATCCTGGGTATAAAACTCACGTGATTATGGTGTATTGTTTTGATCTGTTGTTGGATTTTGTTGCTAATATTTTCAATTACTATTTTTTATTACTAACGTTTAAATTTTTATTGTAAGCATTTTAAACTTGTAAAATTTACATATACTGAAATGATCAGATCTGTATCAAATTCATCAATGAATTTTGACAAATACAGCCATAGCACCCATGCCACTATGAAGATACACGAAGTTCTCTATTTTTCTGCCTTCAAATTAGCCCCCTTTCCCCAGCAGCCATTGATCTGATGACTATCATGATAGAGTAGCTCTTCCTGTTTCAAAACTTCATACGTATCCATTCATCCCATATGGCCTCCCTTGTGCCTAGCTTTTTGCACTTGGTGTAATATCTATGTGGTCTGCCCAGCTTGTTGCATGTATCAGTAATTCATTCATTTTTAATGCTGGTAGTATTGCATTGTATCACTGAGTCACAATTTTTTTGTACATTTTGGGGGTATTCACGGTTTTTTATTGTTACAAATGAACTATGGACATTATTGTACAGGGATTCTTGGACATAATCTTTATTTCACTTGAGTAAATACCTAGGAGTGGAAATGCTAGCCATAGAGTACTAGCTTGTTTAACTTTATTAGATGATATAAAAGTGATTTTCAGAGTGGCTGTTTTATATTCTTATAGGCAGTGGATGAGACTGTTTCACATCCTTGACAACATTTATATTTATTAATCACTTAAATTTCAGCCATTCTAATAAGTGCTTAGTGGTTTCTCGCTGTGGTTTTACTTTGCATTTTTCCCTGATGACTATTGGCCATTCATGTGTCTTTTTTGTAATGTTTCAGAAGATTTCTCTAAAGATTGTGGAAGGAGCTAAATAAACATGATTTCTCTTTCTCTAAGTGCTAGACCTAAAGCGGAATGTTTAGAATCCATCCACGCTTCCCAGTCTGGCCTACTCAATCCCATATTTGCCCCCTAAAGTCCCCACTCCTTCATCCCTCTTTTATATTTTATCCTCTTCATTCTGGCTCAAGCTCACACTCCTCCAGGAAGTCTGTTACTGTGAAGGTCACTGACATGCTCAGTATTGTCATCTCTCCATCTGTCTGTACCTCTGTGCAGCTTTCCTCACACTCAATAACTCTTTTCTTATTTTGCTCAGTTCCTGTGGATTCACTTCACAAACATTAATTCAAAGTAGTTCCAGCTGGAAGAAAGAATAGAAAATTATAAAAAATCTTTGTGAAGGCACCACCCAGGTTTGTCAATTGGCGACATTTTAATATTATTGGCTATATGTAGTATACATAGAAAAATAATAGAAATATATGTAGATAGCCTTGATTTTTCACAGCTCTGATATGCACATGTTTCAGTCAGTACTGTACTGAGCAAATCAAGAATTGCAAGAGGATGTGTGACTTGAATTTAGTGTATGCCTTTATATTTTTACTAAGTTTTAGGAAATCTCTTTGTTTGAAGTCTTTTAGACTTGTTTTTTTAGAACAGGTCTCCTCACTCTGTCACCCAGGCTTGAGTGCAGTGGCACAAACACAGCTCACTGTACCTCAACCTCCCAGGCTCAAGTGATACACCTACCTCAGCCACCCAAGTAGCTGGGGGTATAGCTATGCTCCACCATGCCGGGCTAATTTTTGTATTTCTTGGAGAGAGGGTTTTTGCCATGTTTCCCAGGCTGGTCTTGAACTCCTGAACTCAAGCGATCCACCCACCATGACCTCCCAAAGTGCTAGGATTACAAGTGTACACCACCTTGCCTGGCTTTGCTTTTAGACTTCTTATAAATTGTTTCTGGCTAATTTTATCATTCATTTGCTTGCTTTTTCAGTTAACATGTTCTATGACATGAATCTATGTTCATACAAATAGTTCATTTGCTTTCATTGGTGGATAGTATTCCATGGGAGGAATATACTACAATTCTTCTCTTTCCCTCTTCATTGACCTTTAGATTTTCTCTATTGTAGACCTCACTGCAATGAACATCCTGGGACATTGCCTCCTGCTCTCAGAGATATGTGAGTTTCCCTAGAATATGCATATAGGAGTGGGGTCACTACAGCTTTTCCATATGATGTTACATGATGCAAAATTGTTCTCTGAAAGAAATAATCCAAATGCCTATCAAGAGGGGGCTGATTAAAAAGCACCGCACTCAAAAGAAGCAATCTCTATTTTTTTTTAAAATATTGCATATATATACAATGGTGTATCATGAAAATTTCAAACAAAGATGTAGCTAAGCTCTTGGTATTTCTTCATGTGATGGTCTTTGTGATACAATGTGAAGGGAAAAGGCAAGGTGCAGGAAAGCATATGTAGTTTGCTAAAATTTGTGTGAAATGGGAGAAAGATTATATACATATACATTTAGATTGACTTGCATATGCATAAAATGCCTTTGAAAGAATAAGCAAGAAACTGATATAAATAGCTGCCTGTCAAGATGGGGTAGCATAAGAGAGAGACTTTTAACTTTTTGAGTTTTGAGCCAAGTCAAAACATAAAATAAAAGATAATTCCAAGGCAGACAAAACAAACAAAATCAAATCCTTCAAAATAAAAAACTTAAAAAAAGAGCCTAACAGAATTAATTCTCTTACCTTCCTTAATTAAAAAAAAAAACTGTCTAAAAATTATATCACTTCTCAAACAAGGATGTTTCCTGTCACTTTAATTCAGTATGTTGTTTTCTTTTTCATTGCACTATCTTTCTTTATGTGTGTGTCTGTCTTTCATTCATTAAAAGTCAAAATGAGAGCATGGTTACTTAACAAATGCAACCGGTTTGGTGAAGGAAATTTTGACCAAATCCTGATGTAAATGGTGAAGCCCAATCTACAAGGAATTCTACGGGGTCCAATGTACCAATTGTGGCTTCAGCAGGCTCAGAACTTCCTCTACTGTCCATGTGAGCTCAAGTATGTGATATTTAGAAAAGAGAACACTTGGTAATTCTCCTGGAAAACACACGATTGAATCCATTTGCTGAATTTGGAAGGTTCTCATTATGAGCCCATTCTAAGTATGTGTCATATGAGGTCACCCTGTATTTGGATCAGAAGGTATAGTCAGAGCTCACATCCCAGGCCCAAACAGCCCAGGACAGCAGAGCAAGACTCGTAGGTCAGTTTCATAAGGGGTGGGAAGGATTGGGGGTGTGGGGGCCACTTGTGAAGTAGTGGGAACCCCAGATGCTGTGTGAAGCTCAGCCTCTGGATTGCCCTGTAACCCCACATTTGATTCCTTCCTGGGTGTCTGCCATTCCCGGGATCCCAAGGAAATCAAATGCTGCAGACTTGGGTGGGGTGCTCTCCAAGATGGCCCATGCATGGTCTAGTTTATCCTATACCTTTGCCTGTCAGCCCTCTTCTGATATTAGAAATCAATATGGATTGCCTTAGGGTGGTGATTCTCAAAGTGTGTTCCTGGGACAAGTAGCATTGGCATCACCTGAGGACTTGTTAGAAATGCAATTTTCAGGCCCTGCCTCAGACCTACTGAATCAGAAACTGCATTTTAACGGGCCCCCAGCAGAATTCTGCATTTCAAATCAGGCCTCTCTCTCTCTGTCTCAAGACTCAATATTGAGCAGCTGTGACTTCTGGATAGTCATATATGGGACACACTTCCTTGCCAGGAAGCACCTGGCTCCTCAGTCAGCTTAGTCTGAGTCCTGGCCTGGCCTAGGAGAGAAAAATTCATGTCCTGGGTTCTGAGCAATGCTCTCCTGTCCTGGATGCCTGTCAGACTCCTATTTATACCTCAAAACGCAGCTCAAATGTTGTGTCTTATGAAGCTTCTGTGACTCCTTGGTCAGAGCAGATGGTCTACATGTGCATCCGCAAAGCAAGTTGCATATTCTGCCAACCATTTGTGTAAGAATTTCCTTACTGGCAACAGAGTGAGACTCTGTCTAAAAAAATAAATGAATAAATAAATAAATAAATAAATAAATAAATAAAGAGTTTCCTTACTGATCTCTGCCTGAGCAAGACGGCTTAACCTTGAAGGCAAGGGGGGTTTGGTTCCTCTTACCTCAGCCCCAGCTCCTTTAACACAATGCCTAGCACATGGTAGGTGTTTGATAAATGTTTACCAAATGAAGGGATTTCCTGCAATGACCTAGGAGACAAGAAGGTGGAATAAAAGCTCACAAGCCAAAAGTGGGTGGGAAAAGGTCTTCCAAATCCCAGTGCTGTGTGAGCACAGGGCCCACTGATGTTCACTTTTAGAAGCTTCCCATCTATCTTGTTCTCTTCTCACCAGAAACATCTATGCTTCCCCACCAAGGTCCACCTAATCGCACTTTACCTTTCAGGACCACCTTTCAAATTAGCTGGGTACAAACTCCACAGCAACTTCCTGCCTTAGCTCCAAATACTCAGCTGCAGGCCTGGTGTGGGGCTTCATGCTAATCCTAGCACTTTGGGAGGCCGGGGCAGCAGATCACTTGAGCCCAGGCCTTAGAGACCAGCCTGGGCAACATGGCACAACCCCATCTCTACAAAAAACACAAAACATTAGCTGGGGCTTGTGGCGTTCACCTCTAGTGACAGCTATTCAGGAGTCTGAGGTGGGAGGATCTCTGGGGCCGAGGAGTTCGAGGCTGCAGTAAGCCGTGATCATGCCACTGCATTCTAGCCTGGATGACAGAGTAAGACCCCATGTCTAACAAACAAAAACTACAACTCTGAGGCTAATTTGGTGGGAGTTAAGAGCTTATCCTACTGCGGTGTCACTATGAGTGATATTGGGTGGCTTTAAGATTAGGGGGTGTTTACATTTCTAAAAAGAAAATTGCTCCACAAAGAATGTAAAGTTTTGGTGTGTGCAGGGGTGGGGTCTTCAGGAGAAAAAAGGCAATAGCTCCAGTAATACTCAGTAGCTGACTGTCCTGCCCACCTCTCACCCAGAGCCTAGGCAGGGGCTGGATTCTCACCTCAGCCCCTCCTCAGCGTACCCTGGATGTGGATGGTCCCTCAGTGTGAACCCACCTGGGCTCTGACTGTGGCTGCTCTTCCCACTGTTATGGAGCCTTAGTGGGTGTGGCGCATGCAGGGGGCCTGCTCAGGAGACCAAGTGCCCTTTAAGTCTCAAGACCTACATTTTTGAAGCACCCATGTCAGATGTTCAGGATGGAAGGGACTCAGATGCTCAAATCATAATAAAAGAAAGAATCCATCCCACTCTCTCAGGTGTGGTGGAATTAAAATTAAATGACAATCAGTAATCTAAAATGATCATATTCTCAGTGTTGACTTTATCATTCAGCCGACGCCTATAACCCAGGGATGGATGAGGCATTGTGGAGGAAGAGTTTATTTCTTCTTTCTGAAGGCTCCATCAGCTGGAGTTTTTGCCCTATGACATGGAGAGGAGACTTTGCTTCAAGCTAAGTTAGGACTGAGCACAGTGGCTCACCCATGTTATCCTAGAACACTGGGGAGGCTAAGGCAGGAGGATCACTTGAGCCCAGGAGTTCAAGACCAGCCTGGGAAGCAGTGAGATGTATTCTGTTCAATTTTTTTTTTTAAATTAGATGGTCATTTTGGGGCTTTCCTGTAGTCTTGGCTACTCTGGAGACTGAGGCAGCAGGATCACTTGAACCCAGGAGCTCAAGGCGGCAGTGAACTATGATCAACTCACTGCACTACAACCTGGGTGAGAGAGCAAGTCCCTATCTCTAAAAAAAGAGAAAGTGACCTGAGTTGGGACAGGACATTTGGACTTTTTCATTAAAATTGTATTTCAAATGTTGTAAAACTTCATAATCAGCATTTTACCCTTTTAGAAAGTAGAATCTGCTCAATTACAGAAAATATAAAAAATGTAGTGAAGCAGAAAGATGGAAAACACCTGTGTCCCCACTGGGAGGATCCGGATGAACCTCTGCCTGGCAGAGCCTCAGAGACGTCAGTGAAAAGGGGCCCTGGAGCTGTGCTTTGCAGCTGCCCCCTGAGTTTCCACCCCTGGTTTCTGTGCATGTGGTGTCTGTGCAGGATGACTTAGTGCAGTCACACTGTATGAGTTATTTTGAATCTTGCTTTTCAAACTTTATTATTATCAATAAGCAACTTTATATGTTATCATAAACTCTTCTTAAACAGTACTTTTCCTGGCTGTATACTATTTCCAAAAAATGACCCAGCTACTCTTCTTTTACAAGTTCTTCTTCCTTATTGTAAATAATATCTGATTAATATCCTTATACCTAAAGATTCTTCTATATTTTGCATTTCATTGTAGAATTACAGATTTCTCAAATATAAATTATTTGGTCAAACTGCATGAACTTTTTTTGCTTTGTTTTTGAGATGGAGTCTCACTCTGTCACTGAGGCTGGAGTGCAGTGGCACAATCTCGGTTCACTGCAACCTCCACCTCCCAGGGTCAAGTCATTCTTGTGTCTCAGCCTCCCGAGTAGCTAGGATTACTGGCGTGCACCACCACACCTGGCTAATTTTTTTATTTTTAGAAAAGACGGGGTTTTACCATGTTGGTCAGGCTGGTCTCGAACTCCTGACCTCAGGTGATCCACCCGCCTCGGACACACATGTTATAAAATTGCTTATCAAAAGCAGCATACCAATTATATTCACCCATCATTCACCTCTTATTTGTTAAGCCCCTCCTCTGTACTGGTATGTTCTAGATGCTAGGGATACAAGTGGTGGCTGGACAAGGTCCTGGCCTCAAATAATATGTTTTAGTGGTACAGACAACAACTTTCAAATTTATTCTAATATCAGTGATAATTGTTATGGAGAAAATATACTCGGGTTAGAAGATTGGTGGTGGTGAGGATGGCAGGAGATATATTTTGTTGGATAAGAGGTTCCTGAGAACTTGACTAAGGGACATTTGAGCAGAGAACCGAATGGCATGAGGAGTGAGCCATGTGGATCCCTAGGGAGCAAGTGCATGTGGGAGTACCAGCAGGGGCCGGTGGCAGAGACAGGATTGAGCAGTGACAAGAGACTGGTGCGAGTGCAGATGAGTGATCTGGGCTGAGAGTGGTGAGATGAGGCCAGAATGGCCAGAGGGGCCCCGTGTTGAGGGGCTAATAGGAAATGGAGAGAGGAAGGGAAGAGGCTGGAGTGTCTCTGGGATGTGGTGGTGAGGATGGGCTCTAATTCCCATTCGAAAGGTTCACTCTGCCTGTTGTGTGGGTGATGGACAGCTGCATGAGATGCAGCAGGCAGCCCAGCTGGAAGGCCCGTCGGATTTACTATCCTAGAGAGAATGGCTCTGGGGAGGAGGCAGTAGACGAGTGTGAAGTGATTGGTTTTGGGGTTAATACATTTTTCAGATGGTCTCAGCAGTTATTTAATAGAGAACCATTCATTTATTTCCACAGTTGATTCCAGATGGCTTACTACAACAAACCAAATAATAAATATACATGCATTATTTAAAAACCAACAAGGCCTGGCGCAGTGGCTCATGCCTGTAATCCCAGCACTTTGGGAGGCCGAGGCGGGCAGATCACGAGGTCAGGAGATTGAGACCATCCTGGCCAACACAGTGAAACCCCATCTCTACTAAAAATACAGAAATTAGCCAAGCGTGGTGGCGGGCCCCTGTAATCCCAGCTACTGGGGAGGCTGAGGCAGGAGAATCGCTTGAACCTGAGAGGCGGAGGTTGCAGTGAGCCGAGATCGTGCCACTGCACTCCAGCCTGGGTGACAGAATGAGACTCCTTCTCAAAAACAACAACAACAAAAAAAAAAAAACAGCTGGGAAAATATAGACTTAAAATATTAAGGCTGGGGCAAAACTAGAACATTACTCAGCAAGAAGGAACATCTGAAACATTTGCAGAAATGGAGTTGACTGTTTCCCTAGCCATAGATTTGTTGGCTCACAATTGTGTTGCATCAGGGAGCCACAGAGGGGGGTGACAGTGCAGGTCACTTGGCCCTTGTTTCCTGTTTCAGGAATATTTTCCTGTTTTACACTTAAAGTCAAAGCAAATTTATGTAACTGTAATTTGTTCAAAAATGAAGTCAACAGCTAAAAAGTCAGAAAGTAAATGTACAAACCCCAGGGGTCTAAGGACAGTCTATATTTCTCCCCCAAAATGTCCTCACCCTGCACTATTGAATGGAGACAGTCCTTTCCAGGCGCCCTAAGATGCAGGGGCGACTGGGCTGCAGCCCTACCTACAGGTGTCCTTCTTTATACCTGCAGTTTCCTTTACACCTGACAGCCAACTTCACTGACCTCACCTGAGCTAGGAATTTGTTTTTTTGGTATTGGTTCTATTTGAGTCATTGTGCAGGCTTAAAACTGTGACATGGAAGTTTTGCTATAATGGTTTTTCTTTGATGGAATTTGACACGCACAGTGGCTCTGGCTTCCCTGTCACTCCCAGGAGAGAACGGAGTGTCCTGCACTTTTTTTTCAAGATCCCTGTGTAAGAGTGATCAAGAGACTTGGAGTCAGGGGCTCCTCCAATCTCACCCTCCTCTCTGATGCTTTCCAGCGTGGGGCCCTTGGCTCTCTGCACATCTGATTAATACAATTGTCTCAGCTCCTGAAATAAAAGCACAGGTGCACATAACACTGACTCCTGCGTGCAGTGCCAAGGTGGGGAGGTTTCCTGGATGCCAGGTTTAGCACTTTGACTCTCATTCACGCACACACACACACACATACACACACACTCTCTCTCATATACAGATACACACGCTAACTGATACACACAGGCACACACAGTCGCACACACATTCACACACATATTTAGACACACTCTCACACACAGATTCACACACACGGGCACACACACACAGGCACACACACACACACACATGCAGCCTGAGTGAGCGTTGTGGGACAGGCTGACTTCAGGGGTGGAGTAACAGGAGTCTCTCAGTTCCTTCTCAGTGGACTTTGTCTCTTTTTCCTGGAGGTGGAGGAGACTGTACTCCATGAGGGGAAGTCCTCTGAAGAAGGGGGGAGATACTCAGGAGCGGGGTCCAGAGATGGACAGGGATGGAGAAGTGGAGACAAAGCGGAGGGGGCGGGGCAAGAAGGGAGCCCACGAGGAATGGGGAGAGGGAGGACCTTCTAGAGGTCAGAAATATCACACGCAGAATTTGGTTCTTTGTTTTTGTGTTTTATTAAGATGGATTTAGTAAACCAGCCGAAGTGCAAGATATGGAGTCTACATAGCAAAGGACACGTCTTAGTCTCCTGCTAGTTTGAACTCATCAGTAGTAGCTAGGAGAAGAGTGCCAGAAGCCTTGCGTGGGGCGCGCAACGCCCCTTTGCAGCGACCCCATTCTCTGCATCCCACGGACCTCCCCACCAGGGACCATGTTGGTCCCCTCCCACCCAACAGGAAGGAAAGGAAGAAGTCTGAAGGCTTTGGATCCTCCCTAGCGCACTTTTTCTCGCCATTTATTCCCAGAGTGTCCTTGCCTCCGCTCCGCTATCCCAACCCCACTATAACAAAGCACATCCTGCGCGCTGGGGCCAGAAATCCTCCTTTGGCCTCTGACTCACTGGTGCCATTTCACTGTGTCCTGTCCTTCCGGCCATTGTCACTGGGTGAAGCCCCAGAGAGCTTGAGCTTGGAGCCCAAGAGAGCTGGATTCTTAGAGCGTAGCTGTCCGCACAAACATTCTTTTTTTTTTTTGGTCTTTATTATTATTATTATTATTATTATTATTATTATTATTATACTTTAAGTTTTAGGGTACATGTGCACAATGTGCAGGTTAGTTACATATGTATACAGGTGCCATGATGGTGTGCTGCATCCATTAACTCGTCATCTAGCATTAGGTATATCTCCTAATGCTATCCCTCCCCTCTCCCCCCACCCCACAACAGGCCCCAGAGTGTGATGTTCCCCTTCCTGTGTCCATGTGTTCTCATTGTTCAGTTCCCATCTATGAGTGAGAATATGTGGTGTTTGGTTTTTTGTCCTTGCGATAGTTTACTGAGAATGATGATTTCCAATTTCATCCATGTTCCTACAAAGGACGTGAACTCATCATTTTTTATGGCTGCATAGTATTCCATGGTGTATATGTGCCACATTTTCTTAATCCAGTCTATCATTGTTGGACATTTGGGTTGGTTTCAAGTCTTTGCTATTGTGAATAGTGCCGCAATAAACATACGTGTGCATGTGTCTTTATAGCAGCATGATTTATAGTCCTTTGGGTATATACCCAGTAATGGGATGGCTGGGTCAAATGGTATTTCTAGTCCTAGATCCCTGAGGAATCGCCACATTGACTTCCACAAGGGTTGAGCTAGTTTACAGTCCCACCAACAGTGTAAAAGTGTTCCTATTTCTCCACATCCTCTCCAGCACCTGTTGTTTCCTGACTTTTTAATGATTGCCATTCTAACTGGTGTGAGATGGTATCTCATTGTGGTTTTGATTTGCATTTCTCTGATGGCCAGTGATGATGAGCATTTTTTCATGTGTCTTTTGGCTGCATAAATGTCTTCTTTTGAGAAGCGTCTGTTCATATCCTTTGCCCACTTTTTGATGGGGTTGTTTGTTTTTTTCTTGTACATTTGTTGGAGTTCATTGTAGATTCTGGATATTAGCCCTTTGTCAGATGAGTAGATTGCAAAAATTTTCTCCCATGTTGTAGGTTGCCTGTTCACCCTGATGGTAGTTTCTTTTGCTGTGCAGAAGCTCTTTAGTTTAATTAGATCCCATTTGTCAATTTTGGCTTTTGTTGCCATTGCTTTTGGTGTTTTAGACATGAAGTCCTTGCCCATGCCTATGTCCTGAATGGTAATGCCTAGGTTTTCTTCTAGGGTTTTTATGGTTTTAGGTCTGACGTTTAAGTCTTTAATCCATCTTGAATTAATTTTTGTATAACATGTAAGGAAGGGATCCAGTTTCAGCTTTCTACATAGGGATAGCCAGTTTTCCCAGCACCATTTATTAAATAGGGAATCCTTTCCCCATTGCTTGTTTTTCTCAGGTTTGTCAAAGATCAGATAGTTGTAGATATGTGGTGTTATTTCTGAGGGCTCTGTTCTGTTCCACTGATCTATATCTCTGTTTTGGTACCAGTACCATGCTCTTTTGGTTATTGTAGCCTTGTAGTATAGTTTGAAGTCAGGTAACGTGATGCCTCCAGCTTTGTTCTTTTGGCTTAGGATTGACTTGGTGATGCAGGCTCTTTTTTGGTTCCATATGAACTTTAAAGTAGTTTTTTCCAATTCTGTGAAGAAAGTCATTGGTAGCTTGATGGGGATGGCATTGAATCTATAAATTAGCTTGGGCAGTATGGCCATTTTCACGATATTGATTCTTCCTACCCATTAGCATGGAATGTTCTTCCACACAAATATTCTTGAGATTTCTTCAGATCTGAAAGTCAGCCTGAGTTTTTAGACTTGCTTCTGAGTTTTAGACTTTGGCCCTGGGAAAAAGGAAATCAGTACTCCAGGAACAAGATTTTCCTCGACTTTGTCTCAACCCAAAGACGCTATAGCAGCGCAGTTTTCAAACGTGCTTTGAAAATAAATGGGACAGTGTGTCCACACTGGATTTTGCCTTTCCCTTTTTATTACAGCCCGCCCCTTTTGTAAAATTGTTACACATCTCTCTACTGCACTAAAAACGGCTCTATCAAAGATACTTTGAGAAAGATTTAATGACATGAAAATATGAAGCCCCCTTAAAAGAGAGTTTCTGGAGTTGGGTTTTAATTAACACTTTGGTTTTTAAAATCCTGTAACTATTTGGGTGTGTGGCTTATCTTTATAATATTTTCAAACAAATATTTTTTCTTAACCACCACACAAATCCAAGTTTATTATTTTTATTTTTAAATTTTATTTATTTATTTCTGAGACAAGATCTCTTGCTGTCACCCAGGCTGGAGTGTAGTGGTGAGATCATAGCTCACTGCAGCCTCGAACTCCTGGGCTCAAGCTATCCTTCAGCTTCCAGAGCTGGGATTACAGGCCTGAGCCACCGCGCCTGGCCAAAATCCAAGTTTATTCTGTAATATAAAATTCCAACATTTCAGAGAAGGTGAAAGTCACAACGTTATCCCAGTCCCTGGGGTCCCTGTCAAAATTTTGGGGAATAATCCTCCATGTTTTCCCCTACTTAAAATATATATTATGTAAGTGGTATTACTGGTATTATAATTCCATATATCCTCGTCCTTTTAAAAATGGATAAAAGTAGGCTGGGCACAGATCTTCTCATAACAATACTTACAAATTTATCCTCCTCTTTTTAAGGACTGCGTGGAATTTTATCGCGTGGCTATTCTTTAGGGGACTATGGAAATGTTATTTCTTTATCTTCATTGTGGTAGTGGATATGTGGGTGTGTAAAACAGCCAAGCAGTACAACTCAATGAGCTGTGCATTTCAAATAGATACACTGATTGTGTGCAAAGTATGTCCCAATAATGGTTTAAAAATATTATTCTATTTGAGATTTGTACTTTGATTTTGTAAAACAAAACAAAACCCTTGTTCTTGCACCCACGAGATGCACCCTGGCACATCTGGAGGTAGAAGCTCATGTTCTCTGCAGCTTGACCTCGCAGGCTCTGAAATAAGAATAATAAGCCGTATATTTACAGATTCACACACAGAGAAAAAAAAGCTTTGGTAAAAATGTTCATAAATAACAAAACTAGATAAAGGGCAAAAATAAAATTAGAAATAATAAAACTACATCTTTCAGATATTATTCTCACCTTCACCTTTTCTCTCCCCTTTTCTCCCTCTCCCTTCCTTTCCTCGAAATGTCCCCCCATCCTTCCCTCCTTTCTCCATTCTCTGCATTTGATCCCCATGTATTCCAGCCTCGAGGCAAACACACGTCACCGCGTCCGCCTGGGGCAGGTCAGGGAAGGGACGCGAGGCAGCCGTGTCTCCGCATTCTGTGAGCGGCAGCGCCCTGGGCCTCGCTGATCTTGTGTCATTTCAGTGACCTTCGCTCTAGTCTTTGACGGGGCCACACTCGGGGTGTAAATTAGGATCCTCACTGAAGGCGCGCGACCCTGAGAGGCTTTTTCCTGGTCCCTTAGTTGTGAGTTTTCCTGCGGGCGGCGGAGCCCGTTTCCACCAGAACCGCCCAGAGGCCGGCGCTGCCTTCCTGGGGTGACGGAGCAGCTGGAAGCGTTTTCGGATCCTGGAATCAGTGGGCGGCCCGTGGGAGGGGCTGAGGCGCAGTTCCCTGCTCACCCGGCTCCGAATCCACCGCGGTGCTGTTTCAAGCGAGTCAGATTCCAGATCGCGCTCCAGCCCGGACTCGGAATTCCTGCCCCGCGGGTCTGCATTTTCACAGCGGCAGGTGTGAGTGCCGCGCAGCTGGAGACCAGAAGCCTGAAGGCAGCTCGGCCCTCCCCAGCCCACAGCGCCGTTATTCCGTTTCTATATCAGTAAACACTTGTCATTTTCCGTAGACCAGGGCGGGATGATGGGTGATCCCCGTCCTCGCAGTGAACTCCGGGCCGCAGTCCTGAGAACGCGCTCGGGCGCCCAGCGCAGCCGCGTCCTGAGTTACACACGCGACCGCGCTGGGCCTTTTCTCTTTCTTTTCCGGACCCAGCAGTGGCGCCTACAGTCTGCGAGGAGAAAATCACCTTTGTGCTGGTAAGTCCAGGAATCTAAGGCGAGTGCTGAGGGAGAAAACGTAGTTGATGGCTCAGAGCAGAAGGAGCTGGAGGTAGGGTAGAGGGGGAGGGCTTTGGACAGAAAAGACCTGGGAGATTTGGTTGGGGAGGGGCAGCCAGGCCTAGACCCTGGGGAGCGACTCATCCAAAGTCCAAGATCATCACTGCCTCCCCTACCCCAGAAAGGGAGGGATTGGCTTCATGTCTTGTCGCGATCACCTCTAAATGCGTTGGAACAAACTTTGCATATTATTATTATTAGTATCATCGTCATTGAAGTATTAAAAGTCTTCTTGGGGGTGAGCTGAATGAGATCCTTTGCTGGAACTGGCACAGGGAGAAAAAGTCCTCGAGAGAGTGTAGACACTGTGGAGGGAAGAGCTTGGGACCAGTGTCAGGAGAGCTGGGTCCATCTTCCTCTCTGCCCCTCACTACCCTTGTGACCTTTAGCAGTGTAAATAATCCCTCTAAGGTGGGGACAAGACCCCAGTCCCTGTTGTGCTCAATAAATGATAATGCTCGAAATAAATAATCAGTGAATGTGGATGGGAAAACTAAGTAATTGTTAAAACTCTGTGGTGTATGACATTTTCATCTACAGAAAAGTGTAGGCTAGGGGTCCTGGGGAATGGTTAGTAATCATAGGTAGAGTTCCATTGGAAAAAAAAATGCTCGTAAAGCTGACGAAGATGGAAGGGACACAGTTCGTGATCATGGATGGTTCATTGTCTAATGGGGGTTGGTACCAGATGGTAAATGACAGCTGGACGTGGTGGCACTCGCTTGTAGTCCCAACTACTCAGGAGGCTGAGGTGGCAGGATTGTTCTAGCCCTCGGCTAGAGCGGGAGCGGCTTGGCGTTTCTGGGGGGTCCGAATGGGTCGCAGCGAGCGCGATGCGGTCGCGGCGGGGCTCAGGTGCGATGTGCAGCGAGGTGCGGGAGCTGGACGCTGCCGGTTGCCGCCACTCCTCAGCCCTGCTTTTCAGTCTCTTTTCAGTCCTCCTCGGGATCGCGCATCACCCGCCCCCTGCACTTTCTGGTCTCTTCTTGCACTTGCTCTCCTCACCTCTCCTCCGCCTCCTCTCACTTTTCGGACAAACCAGCCCTTCTGAAGTCCCTGGGTTCCTGGGCTGTTCCTGTGAATGGCATTCGAGGGCCCTTCCAGCTCTGCCGCTGAGGCAGTCACATCCCCCGGTGCTCAGAGCGGCTCTCGGGTCCCTGAAGCCCTGTCCTCTCCCTGGAGTCCGCGTGTTCTCAGCTCCAGGGCGGGCCGCAGTCCCTGGAGTTGGGGCCCTCCTTTTTTCGGGACCAGGAGCTGGTGCTTCCTATTGCTGTGGGGACTATGGGGCTCCTGACTCTCAAGCTGAGGGGTTGGAGCCTGCCGGCTCCAGGCAGAGGATTCTTCCTGCGACTGCTCCCATCCCCAGCTCATTATCCCTTCGCCTCCCGTTCCCAGGGTTCTTTCCTCTCTGTCAACCCTCCCAGCTACTGTGGACTCCAATGATCTAAGGACACCAAGTTCCCTCCTACTTCCTCAGCTTCCTTTCTCATGGCCCCCTGGGTCCTGTTGCCCTCCCTGCTCCCTGCTACCCCTTTCTATCTGCAGTTCTCTGATCCATTTGTAGGGTGTCCTCTGCCCTCATCCCCTGCTCCCGTCCCTCCTGCCTCCCTTATGGGCCTTTCCTATAAGCAGCCTTCACCCAGTGCTGCCCCTATGCCTCTCCATTCCCAGCTGTCCCTGACCCTAACTTTCTGGTGCTGCCTTTTGTCAGGGGAGTCTTCCCTCCATCCCACTCCCCTCCAGGCCACTTAAGGGGAGCCCTGGTGCTAATGAAAGTTGGGCCTTAGGCAGGGCGCAGGGCAGCGCAGATGCCCCCTCCCCTCCAGTGCAGATGCCTGCTCTGGGCCCTGCCTCAGGTGACCCGTTCCCCACTCCTTCATCCTCAGCCTCACCCTCTTGAGGACCCCACCCTGAAACCCTCAGGTGCTGGACCATCCCTCCCTGGTCCCTCTGCCCCTCTCTGCCTTGGGACCTTATGCTGTTCCCACCTCTTGACCAGCTGCCTTGGGCCCTCAGCAAGTTCTCACCTTCCCCAAACCCCACCCTCCCCCAGACAACCCCTCCCTTCCTGTTCTCACTTTACCCCAAGTTCTCCCAGGGTCACCCCCCCTTCCTTCTCATGCCACCCTTTAGTCCTTGCCCTGCCCATCTCCTCACCCCCACCCAGACCCAAAACAGGCTCTAGTCCAACGGCTCCTTGACCCTCATCCTCTTTCGGTTCCTTGACCCCGGTGGGCTGTCAGTTCCTAGACTTCATATCCAAAATCTTCACTTACCACATAGTGGGCTGTGGTCATCCCCTCCTCTGGGCCTTCTCCCAGCACCACCTTCCTCCTGTGAGGGTTTTCTAACCTGAGCCCTCTTTTGGAGTGTGACTGCTCCGCCTTCAGCACCACTCCTCTCTGAAGGCCCTTCCTCAGGCCTTGGTTTTTTTCTCTCTGAACAGGACCCCAGCCTCTTTCTAATTCTATATTATTGTTTGGTACACTGTGACAATTTCTTTTTTGTTGTTTAATTGTCGTAAAATATACATATAAAGTTCACTATTTTCACCATTTAAAAGTGTACAGTTCAGTGGCATTAAGTACATTCACATTTTTGTGCATCCTGAAACTCTGTGCCTACTAAACAGTAGCTCCCCATTCCTCCTTCCCCCTGGCCGCTGGAACCACTGGTTCTACTCTCTGTCTCTATGAATTTGGCTATTGGGAATTATGCTGCTATGAACATGAGTGTTCAAATATCTTTTTAATGTTCCTGCTTTCATTTCTTTTGGGTAAATACCCAGATGTAGAATTTCTGGATTACATAGTAATTAATTTTTTAGTTTTTGGAGGAAGCAACACACTGATTTCCATAGCAGGTGCCCCACTTTGTCTTTCCCAATGTACTACACAAACGTTCCAGTTTCTCTACCTCTTTGCCAAACTTGCTTTTTCTCTCTCTCTGTGTGTGTGCGTGTGTGTGTGTGTGTGTTTGATTATAGCCATCCTAATTGGTGTGAAGTAGTAGCCCATTGCAGTTTTGATTTGCATTTCCCTAATAACTACAGATGTTGAGCATCTTTTCATGTGTCTATTGGCCATTTGTATGTCTTCTTCAGAGAATTGGCTATTCAAATTCTTTGCCTACATAGTTTTTTTGAGTCTTATGTTTGTGTTACAGGAATTCTTTATGTATTCTGGATATTAATCTTTTATTAGATAAATGATTTGCAAATATTTTCTTCCATTCTAATGGTTGCTTTTTCACTCTGCAGATTGTGTTTTTTAATGCTCAATTTTTTTTATTTTGATGGGTCCAACTTATCAATTTTTTCTTTGTTGTCTGTGCTTTGGTGTTATATCCATAAAAGTGTTGTCAAAACCTATGTCATGAAGATTATTCCCAATGTTTCATTCTAAGAATTTTTCAGTTTTAGTTCCTGAGTGTAGGTCTTTGATTTATTTAGAGTTAACTTGTATATGTGGTATAAGTCAGGAGTCCAACTTCATTTCTTTTTGCATGTGAATGTCGTTTTCCTGGCACTGTTTCTTGAAAAGATGCACTGATCCTCCCTTACTCCCATCTTGTACATGATGAGCCTTCCTCAAAGGCAGCGGCCCGTGACTCCATCTCACCCTCACCTGTGTAGCACAGCCATGCTGGTCATGGGTCCCTCTGAGCCTGGGTCCCTTCCCATTTCCACCCTCCCCTCTGGCAAGACCTTCCTTCCACCACTGCCTTCGTGCTCCTCCCTCACCACTGCAGGGCAGCCTCTCTCCTTGGCCTCCTCCCTATACCCTTAGGTGGCCTGTGGCCACCCTGCCTTGGCAGCTGGCCTACATGTTTGCCATCTCCATTCCCCCTTCTTCTGTTCCTCAGTCTGCTCCTCCATCCTCCTGCCCTCCCAGTTTTCCTTGTATCTGAAATCCTCATTCTTGTCCCTTTGCATATGTACATTTCCTGCCTCCTCAGAAAGGTTGAGACAGCAGACCTGTGTGTTAAACATCAATGTGAAGTTACTTCCAGGAAGAAGTTTCATCTGTGGTTTCTTGTTCCCCAGGGCCCCACAGTCTTCATTACAACCTCACGGTGCTGTCCTGGGATGGATCTGTGCAGTCAGGGTTTCTTGCTGAGGGACATCTGGATGGTCAGCCCTTCCTGCTCTTCAACAGGCAGAAAGGCAGGGCTGGGTCCCGGGGACAGTGGGCAGAAGCAGTTCTGGGAGCTGAGACCTGGGACACAGAGACTGAGGACTTGACAGAGAATGGGCAGGACCTCAGAAGGGCCCTGGCATATATCAAGGGACAGAAGGGAGGTGAGAGTTGGCAGCAGGCAAGAGTGATGGGAGGCCTTTTCCAGGAGAGCTGGGGGCAGAGAGCAGGGACCTGTCTGTCCCCACTGGATCTGGCTGGGGGTAGGGGTGAGGAATAGGGGTCAGCAGAGCTCAGCGGGGAGGTAACCTGGCACTCAGCCCACACAGAAAGGCATGGAGGAGGGCCAGGGAGGGGTCTCCTCTGGTCTGAGTTCCTCACTTGGAACTGCTGGGTGGGGGTAGCCTTGCATTCCCTCCAGGAGATTAGGGGTTGTGAGATCAGGAAGCCAGCAGCACCAGGGGCTCTAGGCATTCCTACTCTTATGGGTAGCTCTTCCTCTCTCTCAACCTGGAGACTCAGGAATGGACAGTATCCCAGTCCTCCAGAACTCAGACCTTTGCTATGAACATCACAAATTTCTAGAAGGAAGATGCTATGCCGGCTGAGACACACTCTCACCCTATATGGGTAGACTGCAGGCAGAAACTACAGCAGTATCTGGAAACCTGTGTGGGTGTCAGGAGAGCAGGTACTGGGCCTGGGTAGGGGCTTTCCTCTCCCCTATTCCACTAGAGTCACCCCGACCCCCAACTCTGTCCAGGGAAACCCTCCTTGTGCTATGGATGCATGTGTTTTCTGTTGGTGTGTTATATCCTGATTTTTCTCTCCTGTTAGAGCCACTGGAAAAAGACAATGGGTCAGGGATTGAAGGGTCCAGTGTCACAATCTGGGGAAGCAGGGGGCCCTCTGACAGAAGCCTGAACCGGGTGGGTGTCAGGCAGGAGAGGAAGCCCCCAGGGCCAAGGCTGCCCCATCTGCTTCCCAGCCTGCCCATCCCAAAGAGTTCCCTCTGGCCCCATGTACCAGGAGCCCACCCCTGACATTCCCCTCCTCAGCATCAATGCAGGGATCCCAGAGCATAAAGACACAGTCTCGAGGCCCATCCTTCTGCCAGCCTTGAGGAATTGGTCCCCAGGGTGAGGACAGACTTGCAGAAGGTCTGGGGTCCGTGAGGACTTCTGCCAGAGTCGGAGCAGTGGAGCGGACCAGCCCTGTTCCCTGCATCTCCATTAGAGGGGAGCAGGGTTTGGCCATGTGCCTCATTGTCTCTGCCCTTTCTTCTCCAGTCCCCCCCTCCTCCACCATGAGTGTGGCCTGCAGTGAGGCCCTGGAGGGCAACATCACCCTGATATGCTGGGCTCTGGCTTGTATCTCCAGAATATCTCTCTGACCTGGTGACAGGATGGGGCGTCTTTGAGCCAGGATGCCCGGCAGTCTTGGGGTGTTCTGTCCAATGGGATGGGACCTACCAGACAGAGGTGGCCTGCAGGATTCCCCAAGGAGAGGAGCAGAGGGTCATCTGCTCCATGGGATACAGCAGGAATCACAGCACTCACCCTGTGTCCTCTAGTGAAACTGGGACCACCCTTGAGGGTTCCAACATAAGGAGGATCAGGCCAGGGTGGGGGCAGCAGGAACGGCTGTGGCTGTGGGTGCCCAGTGTGTAACAGGCCATTTTTTTCAGGGATGGCCCTGGTGCTTCAGAGTTGATGACCAGCCATTCCATATGTTGCTGCTGTTGCTGCTTTCATCATCATTAGTATTATTAGTAGTATTATTATTCTCTGTGTCCTTTGATGCAAGAAGAAGACAACATCAGGTGCAGAGGGTCCAGGTGAGAAAAGGGGACAGTTGCTAGAGATGGGAGGGTCCCTGTCTGGGCTGTAGTGTCCCCTCATACCTTCTGTGCAGATAGGCTTGTAGGTGACAAGGCTTCTGGAACAGGCGATGAAAGTTGGGGTATTTGGGAGGGGAATGAGAGCCACGTTGCCATCTACATCCCTGTGAGAAAGAAACTCACCCATTCAAACCCAAAGAATAGACTCAGAGACCCAGAGAACAGCGAAAGAGAGACTTTTAATGACAGTCTTGCAAGATCAGGTGTCTGGAGTGCAGGTACACCTGGGACAGTTTCAACAAACTATTTCTTCCCTAGTGTGCAAGTCCCTCCCCCAATTCCTCATTAGCTGAGTACTACGGGGTTATAGTCTTCCTGGGCATCGCCTATTGGTAGTTGTATTAAGACTTCAAGTATGTTCTTTAGGGTCTTTTTGCTGCATTTTTTGCTGCATTTTGTTGCAGCCACCCATAATACATGGCGACTGTCTCAAGACTCTGAGCATTTGACTTATGGCCCTAGTGACTGCACTTAGGTGATGGCAAGCTAGCCCAAACTAAATTCTTTGATGAGGTGGGGAGGGGGGTCATTGAGGGGGCCCTGACCAGTAGGCTCCTGGACACTGGGTCAAAGGGAAAGCAGGAAGGAGGGGATTGTGGCTTAGTATATTTTGCTTCTTTATCTCTTTGTTTCCATGTGGCCTGCTTAAACATATTCTAAGGCACTTATGAAAATGAACCTTCTTCACATGTAGGTTATTTTTTACACTTACCTCCTCTTTTTCTTTTTACCCTTTTTGGTCTTATTTTCACTTACATATCTTTGTTTATTAACTGTTCTGGAAGTTTTTTACTTTCTTCATTATAGGAGGAGAAGTTTAGTTTGGCTTTTAATAATAGTAAGTCATTCTGTTGGGACATTAGGGGCATTTGTTTACTAATAGCTGCTTTAATTAACCTTTGTGTTAAATAAACCCTTCACACAAGGTATGATACAACATCCTATGGCTGTTAAGACCCCAGCCATAATCACGAGAGATGTAAGAACTGAAGGTACCATTCCTTTCCATTTTTCAAACCAACCTTCTAACCAGTTAGTAAAAAGGTCATTTACTCCTGTGTTTTCTGCCAGCTCGTTGACTAGAGTTGTTAGTCCCTGCCATCCCTTTATGATGGTTCCATTTGGGGCAGCATTGTTGTGAATGGAAGTGTCACATTTTCCACCCAGCATATCACATATATCACCTTTCTCTGCTAATATTATGTCCAGTGTAATTCTGTTTTCCCAAGCCATTTAGCTAGTGGCATTTAGTTGTCTGGCTACTCCCTTAAGGGCATTTTGCGTGTAATTGATGAATCTTTGCTGATTATAAGACATGTAATTAATCTAATTTACATTCTTGTTAATAGTTGACCACCAGAAAAGTGCTGACTCAAATCTAGCAGGTATTTGGTTTCGTGCTTTAAATTTATTAGGCACTCCTCTAGGTACTCCTATGGAGTTTAGATAGATAAATAGATAGATAGATGGATAGATAGATATACAAAGCTTTCATCCACTGTTCCAGAAGCCTTGTGTGTATGTGTGTGTGTATATATATATATATGTGTGTGTGTGTGTATATATATGTGTGTGTATATATATGTATATGTATATGTTTGTGTGTGTGTGTATATATATATATATATACACACACACACATTATATATGGGTTAAAATAAATTGCTAAATTACTCTGATCTCTATGACCATGTGTATTTTTAGCTGTTTCATGGAATGACAGGGTGAACGGAATGGCCAATTGTACTAAAGCACAAGTCCCGGTCCAATTGGACGGTAACAAGTTACGGAGGTTCCCTTTCCCGAAATACCACCAGACATTTGCCTGGGGTATATGGAGAGTTGAATGGTTGCCACAGTCTGGGTTACCAGTGACATTTAGGATGTGGGTGCAGGTTGCGAGTTTTCCCACAGGTTTATCGAACCTCACCTTCTGTCTAGAGTGACAACAGGAGTGATTTATATTCCCTATAGAGAATGAGGGGATTGCTTTAGGATCTGATCTCTGCAAAGTGGGAAAGAGCAATGACAGACTTTTACAAGTCTTATTTCCCCATGCAACCTTGTCTTGGTATACAGCCAACACGCAACACATTCCTTTGGGATTAGTATCCCATCCAAGGGGAAATGGAACCACCTGTGCCTGAGGTTGACCAGCAGCACATGCATAACAGTTACTTTTATCGAGGGCTTGTGCTGAAAATTTCACCCATTTAACACAGGCATTTATGTCTCTATATCCTGTTTTAATTTTTAAAGTCTGCCTTAAGTCAGTTACTTTAATTATTTTTACTCTCTTAGGTTTATTGTTTGGTGGGTTAAAGGAAGTTAATGGGACCAGGAGTTCTAGTAATTCTGGGTGGGCTTGGGGTAGAGTTGGTGACTAACCTAAAAGCTAACTGTCCCACGGGATTCCTTTCTGAGATATTTATTTTTAATTTATACCTTCAAGATTTCTGGTTTAGAGTAGCTGGGTTGTTTATAGTAATTAATATAGGATTGCACTTTAAATTTTTACAGTTAGGTGGCGTGTGGTTCTTATACAATACTTAGGTTTCCTTTCACCCCTTGTGTTAGGATTAATTCTAACCATATCAGCCCCCAGTGATGGAGCCTGCTTATGGCTTACTTTTAGGTTTTCCTTAGAATTAGCTTAAAGGGTTTCTTAGGTGATCTATACACTTCCAATTTACCTTCCGTTTTTTTTTTTTTAACCAGTTTCTTGACCCGAGTGTAATGTGTCCACCCCTGATCAGCTGTTTGTACAGCTGCCTCACTTGATAGGGACCTTCCCAGCTTGGGTGGAGCTTGTCTTCTTTCCAAGTCTTAATTAGCACTGAGTTGCCAAGCTGGAAGTGGTGAACTGTGAACTCAAGGGGTGGGGTTTGTGTTACAAGTTCTTTTAACCTTAAGTTGTTTCCTGGGAGTTCACACAATTCCCACACACTTGTTTAGCCAGGGCATACATTTCTATACACCCATAATTCTTTAGTATTTCATCATACATGTCCTGGGGACCCCAATGACTTCCCTTATGCAATATAGACATTAGATTTTTTTTCTTTTTTTAGACAGAATCTCGCTCTGTCACCCAGGCTGGAGTGCAGTGGCACGATCTCGGCTCACTGCAAGCTCCACCTCTTGGGTTCATGCCATTCTCCTGCCTCAGCCTCCCGAGTAGCTGGAACTACAGGCACCCACCACCACGCCCCGGCTACTTTTTTGTATTTTTAGTAGAGACAGGGTTTCACTGTGTTAGCCAGGATGGTTTTGATCTCCTGACCTTGTGATCTACCCGCCTCCGCCTCCCAAAGTGCTGGGATTACAGGCATGAGCCACCGCACCCGGCCAACATTAGATTTTTTATTATGGGTTTGTTTATTATTTCTCTCCCATCAGGGAGCACTCACCTTCCATTCTTAGTTTAAGTGGCTCCTATCTTGCCTAGCTTTTCCTCCTCTTTTGAAAATTGGGGTTTTAATATCACCTTAGGGATATCTGGGCTAAACAGTTTAAATTTTTCCTCCAGGGAGACTTGCTTAGCAGCCTTATCCACAAGCCTGTTCCCTACAGCTTCTATAGTGTTTCTTTTCTGATGGCCATTTACATGAACTATGGCTGTCTCTGCTGGAAACAGGAGGCTTTCTAAAACTTGTTCCCCATGTACCAATTATTTTGCCCTGCTATTTTCTAGGCCCTGCTCTGTCCAGATTTTTTCAAAGGTGTGTACTACTTTATAGGCATATTTGGAATTAGTATATATAGTGTCTTCTTGATCTTCTAGGAGCTTTAGGGTCTGGTTAAAAGCATAAAATTTACAGGTTTGGGCTGACCAGTTATTGAGTAATTTAACTTTTTCACATAAGGATTGTTTGTTTTTGTTCATGACAGCACAGCCATTGTGTCTTTTACCATTTATTACTCAGGATGACCCATTCATAAACAACCTCATCCCATTATGTAGTAGAGTTCCTTTAAGGTTTGGTACTAACTTTAGTTTGATACTCTGTGATATCTAAACAGTTATACTCTGACGCCTTCTTATTCTCCTCTCCTTTTCATAAGAAACTGGCTGGTGTTAGTTTAGTCACCTCCCGAGGGCCCATTGACCCCAGGAGGAACTTGGGGAGGCAAGGGACTGACCAGCTGGCATCCCAGAGTGCCCTTGGCCGGGCCCTGCTGGGTTTGGCTTTGGGCCAAGAGCTGCTGGTTTGAAGATCTGCCAGCCTATGGAGCCTTCCCTGATGGGTACTCTCATTAGAAAAGGCATTTCTGGCTCCGCCCTCCCTTCCTGTTTTTTTTTTTTTTTTGTGCTTCAAAGGCACCGTTCCTCTCCGTGGCAGGCCTAGAGGTGCACTGTTTGTGTTTCAAGCAACCCCCACTGGTGACCCAGCAACTGTAAAGGGTCTCCAGTTTGTCCAGCCCTGGGAGGGGACTTAGTGGCTTTTCCTCCTCCTGGGCTGCAAGGATCCTCCCCTGGCCCAGCCCGACTCTGGGAAACAGAACTTTTACACATTCCACCTTAAAGCATTTTGGCAGACTTTTCCCCAGCACGAGCTCTCTCTACTTCAGGGATTGCAAACTGGCATCCTCTTTTGCCTGTTTTGGGTTTTTAAGTTATTTGAACAGAATATCAGCATTTTAAAATTATATTTTACATAAAAAGTCAGAATTTTGTCCTCTGACAAAGCAGACAATCTGGCAACACAGTGCCAGCACTGTAAGAAGAGCTGAGCAGCCGCCACAGTTCCCACCCAGCCCTGCAGCCCTCCTTTTTATTATTTGCTGGCCCTGTAGTCATTTGAGTTTACAACCCTAGTACTGATTTTCCTTATGTAGCGACCCCAGCCCTTCTGCTGCCTTACTGACAGCTAACTGCCCCTGGTGGCCTTCCAGCCTCTCACTAAAACAACAAAACCTTAATGTTATCTTATTCATTTACTCTTCCATAACTTGAATCCTTTTGACCACCTCCTGATAAACAGCCATCTAGTTTTTGCTGTAGGCAACCCGTTACACCTCAAGCAGCCTGATCCTAAACTCTCCTCCACATCCCTTTCTCACTTGCATCCATCCCCCAGTTCCCGGGTTTTGTCGTTCCTCAGTGGCCACGCACTGCATGCACCCTTCCCCTGCACCTCCTTGTTGCTTAAGTCCCCAGAAACTTCCCCCAGCCCTGCCAACCTCTCAGCATTCTCTCACTTTGTCTTGTACTCTTTTTTCCTTTTACATTATTTGTCTCCCCAGTTTTACCTTCTGTGTTTCTCTTTGATCTCTGTCTCTTTTAGTCTCTCTTGCTAATTTTCCTCTTCTATTCTCTCTCTGTCATCCCATTTCCTTTCTGTCTCACACTCAGCTTCTTCCTCTTTCTCTGGGCATGAGCCGAGCCGTGCTGTGCCCTGGCTCCCCTTGTCTGTCTGCAAAAACAGGCAGCTCTGCGGAAATGACTCAGCAGTAACCTTTATCAACAGCTTTTAGAAGCCAGCTGCCACACACAGCTGTGCCGCTGGCTCTCTCTTCCTTCAGGTATAGCAGCTTAACTCTCTCTCTCTCTCTTTCTCTCACACACACACACAAACTTTCTGAGCTTCCCTCAGTATTTCCTTAATTGGTTTTTTATTCCATCCGTTAATCTTTTGCAGTTTCTTAGTAATATTACATCAGCTTTTAGTTACAAAATTAACCTTTAAAAGGCCTTGCCCTACTGGGTCCTCTGGATTTAATCCTGAATATTTTTTCACTTGATCCCTGAGCCTCTGCAGAAATGCAGAGGGAGTCTCCTCTTCTTGTTGTTGGATCTTGAATGCTTTGGGGACGTTTTGTGTCCTATGAGTGGACTGCATAATCCCTCTAATTATTAGCTCCCTATGGTCTTGCATTTGGACCCGATCCCTGGGGTCATTATTATCCCATCCAGGATCTGCATTTGGGAATTTCTGCTTAGCTGGCAGGACTCATTACCCAGGAGGATGCTGCTGTCTCTCCCAAATGATTATGGCTGCCCTTCTAATTATTCCCGTCTTTTTCCCAGTAAACAGAATATTCATGATTGAATTATCTCAGCCCAAGTATAAAAATTAGGTTCTAAAAATTGATCTAGCTGTTCTGCTAAACTGAGGGGATCTTCCGAGAGTGGCCTCATTTCCTTTTTAAAATTCCTAACCTCAGTACTTGTTAAAGGCACACTTACAAATCCAATTTATTATTATTAACATTATTATACTTTAAACTCTGGGATACACGTGCAGAACATGCAGGTTTGTTACATAGGTATACATGTGCCATGGTGGTTTGCTGCACCCATCAACTCATCATCTACATTAGGTATTTCTCCTAATGCTATCCCTCCCCTAGCCCCCTACCCTCAGACAGGCCCCAGTGTGTGATGTTCCCCTCCCTGTGTCCATGTGTTCTCATTGTTCAACTCCCATTTGAGTGAGAACATGCAGTGTTTGGTTTTCTGTTCTTGTGGGTCTTTCTCTGAGAGACCCAGAGAACACGTAGCTGATGGTTTCCTGAGAATGATGGTTTCCAGCTTCATCCATGTCCCTGCAAAGGACATGAACTCATCCTTTTTATGGCTGCATAGTATTCCATGGTGTATATGTGCCACATTTTCTTTATTCAGTCTATCATTGATGGGCATTTGGATTGGTTCCAAGTCTTTGCTATTGTGAACAGTGCCGCAATAAACATATGTGTGTATGTATCTTTATAGTAAAATGTTTATAATCCTTTGGGTATATATCCAGTAGTGGGATTGTGGGATTGCTGGGTCAAATGGTATTTCTGGTTCTAGATCCTTGAGGAATTGCCACATTATCTTCCACGATGGTTGAACTAATTTACACTCCGACCAACAGTGTAAAAGCGTTCCTATTTCTCCACATCCTCTCCAGCATCTGTTGTTTCCTGACTTTTTAATGATCGCCATTCTAATTGGTGTGAGATGGTATCTCATTGTGGTTTTGATTTGCATTTCTCTAATGATAAGTGACTATGGGCCTTTTTTCATATGTTTGTTGACTACATAAATGTCTTCTTTTGAGAAGTGTCTTTTCATATCCGTCGCCCACTTTTTGATGGAGTTGTTTGTTTTTTTCATGTAAATTAAGTTCTTTGTAGATTCTGGATATTAGCCCTTTGTCAGATGGACAGATTGCAAAAATTTTCTCCCATTCCATAGGTGGCCTGTTCACTCTGATGATAGTTTCTTTTGCTGTGCAGAAGCTCTTGAGTTTAATTAGATCCCATTAGTCAATTCTGGCTTTCGTTGCCATTGCTTTTTGTGTTTTAGTCATGAAGTCTTCGCCCATGCCTAGGTCCTGAATGGTATTGCCTAGGTTTTCTTCTAGGGTTTTTACAGTTTTAGGTCTTATGTTTAAGTCTTTAATCCATCTTGAGTTGATTTTTGTATAAGGTGTAAGGAGGGGGTCCAGTTTCAGTTTTCTGCATATGGCTAGCCAGTTTTCCCAACACCATTTATTAAATCGGGAATCCTTTCCCCATTGCTTGTTTTTATCAGGTTTGTCCTTCCTTACATTGTTCTAATTCTTTCCTCAAGTTTGGATAAGGATTTAAGGGAGCATTGGGTTTAGCTCCTTCATGACCTCCCAAATCCTTTTCCTCTGACCTTCCTTTTGCCCCCTGATCTCCCTGTCCTCTACTTTGTGAGATGTATAGGGTGTAGGGCAAGCGTGTTAGGGGATCCCAGGGCTTTTCACTGGGTGAGGGCTCTTTACTATGCTCTTTTTATTTCTCTTTAAGGGGGAACACGGGGCTTAATTCACTAATCCAACAAACAGCATAACCCATCTCCTCTTGTGAAGATGGGGTTTTATCATTCACATAGAGAATTAAAGCTTGGCATATACAGTCCTTATTTGAGCTAAACTTAGGCCAAAGGACTGAAGGCTGACAAATGGGCTTTTTAGGCCAGATAAAACAGCAAGCAATACATTATTATTTTTTGTTTTTCCTTATTTCAGGTTTTCTAGTTATTTTTGAGTCAGTTTTGGCAATTTCTATCTTTGTATGAATCTGTCCATTTTATCTAAGTGGTCTAACTTATTGACTTCAGGTTTTTCAGAGTCTTCACTTATAATGCTTTTGAATTTCTAAAGGGTCACTAGTGATAATCTCTCTTTTGTTCACAATTTTGGTAATTTATCTCATTTCTTATCATCTCTGTTTTGACTGTTGGTCAAGAAAACAGACAGAGGCAGCAGATGGCTATGTGATTCTCTAGTGGGAAGGCTTTGATCATACATGGCTGGCAAGCCAGACTGATGGCAGCAACCCCAAAGGAGCTGCCAAGGGATCTTGACAGGAAAGTCACTGACTCTGGATTGGGCTATGCTCAACCAGGGGAAGAGGTCAATGCTTCAAGGGCTATGAAATCACCAGAAAAAAAGAGATTGCACCAATGTGGACTGCTGAGTCCCATTTCTTTACGCAAGAAAACACACTTTACAGCCTCAAATGGCTAACAATGCACAGGGAGATGTCCTCCTCAGAAGAAAACTTTGATAGAAAATTGAAATGGTCAGTTGAAGCATTGTTTGTCTAAAAACTGGCAATATAGTTGTTGGGCAATATAAACATGAAGGACTGGCTTTTACATCTTCATGAATGTGCTCACTGTCCACATGGGTGGGGCTGCAAGAGTGACTCCTCTAGATAGCTTCCTCTCTTTTACCTGATGGATCAGGACGATGCTGTTATGACTATACATACAATTCTTCTGAAGGGGAGAGGATGCTGGAATAATGACTACGCTTCACCTCAAATTTCTTTTTTCATATGTGATGCAGTGGTACCAGGAATAGGGATGAAAATCAAAGTGCCAGAAACAGGAATTATCTTTAAGCCAAAAACCATAACTATATATTTACATCTTTATATAAGAATTCCCAAGCAACTCAAAGATGGTGCTATGCCTTCATTTCATCTGGCAAAGTCAGGATTAACAGTAAATAGAGCTATATAGCCTGGTGGTCAGATGGCCCCCACTAGTTCCTTACCTACATAACCTACCCTCTATGACCAAGAGTAGACCGAGGGAAGGCATGCTAGAATACTATTGCTGCCTGCAGTCTAGGTCAGCACAGCAGACAAACCTGATGTCACCTCTAAAACTGGAAAAGACTGATATAAAGGGACAGAAGGAGGAATAATGGCTGAGGGTAAGTGACTAAATCAAAGGGTTATATAATGAGGAAAATTCAATATTAGCTTAACTCCTCAAAAGTGCTGTGAGCAAGAGAAGATATTGTCTCTTAGGTCAATTATACTGGGTGCCTAAAAGAGTGAAGCCATATGTCCTTGAGACCATTCTTGTTTTTGGAGCCTGGTAAGGTTGAGTGGTGTCTGCAAACCTGAGTGACTTCATTCTGGGAGACATATTCATACGAGAGGATGGTGAACTGTTCTAATTTTGAATGACTGAATGAGACTCTGATAATACGCCAATACCTCTTTACTTTTATAATCCTTTTCCTATAAAAGATATGTGGTCAAAGAAAAGCGGGTAATCTGAGGTATAACAAAAACATTTAGTCTTTGTCCCTGGTTTCTCCTAAAAACCTTAGAATCTCTTGAGTGATAAGAGTTAGAATATTGATGAGAGGACTCATGGCTGAGCGGACCCTGGATATCTTGAGAATGGGGGCTGACTGCCAGAGACACATACCTGTGATGAGAGCGCTGTCTTATTCCATTTTGTGTTGCTATAAAGAAATGTCAGAGACTGACTAATTTATATAAACAAGGTTCATGTGGCTTGGGATTCTGATGTCTGGAAATGTTTGAGCATTTGGTGAGGGCCTCAGGCTGCTCCCACTCATGGCAGAAGGCAAAGGGGAGCTGGTATGTGCAGAGATCACACGGTAAGAGAGGAACAGAGAGCTTAGGAAGTTGCCAGGCTCTTTTTAACAACTGGCTCTCTTGGAAACTAAAAGAGTAACAATTCATTCACTTGCGAGAGAGGACAGGATCTCTTTATTCATAAAAGATTGGCCCCCATGACCCAAACAGCACCCATTAGGCCCCACGTCCAACACTGGGGGTCAGATTTTAACATGAGGTATCAGGGGGTAAATATTTATATCATTACATTCTGTCCCTAGCCAGCCAGAGCTCATGTTTTTCTCCCATTGCAAAATATGATAATTTCCCAATTGTCCCAAATGTGCTAGGTTGTTCCAGCATCAACTCAAAATTCCAAAGTCTCATCTGAGACTCAAGGTAAGTCCCTATAGCTGTGAGCCTGTAAAGTTTTAAAAAGGTTATTTACTTCTAAAATATTAATACAAGAGTGGAAGAGACATTTCTTATACATTTCCATTCTAAAAGGAATAAATGGGCCAAAAGAAATGAATGCAGTGTCCTCACAAAGCTGAAACTCATCATGGAAGATGTTAAAATTTAAAGCTCTAAAATAATCTCCTTTGACCCTATATCTTGAATCCTGAGCACACTGGTTCAAGTGGTGGGCTCACAATGCCATTTGCAGCCCCACATCCTTGGCTTTGCTGAACATAACCCATATAGCTGCTCTCATGGGTGAAAATTGAATACCTATGGATTTTCCAAGCTGAGCTTGCACATTGCCAGTGGCTCCACCATTTAGTAGTCCTGATAGGGGTCCTGCTCCTGCAGCTCCACTGGGAATTGTCCTGGATATTAAATTTCCCCTTTAAATATCAGTTCCAGTTTCAGATCATTTTTTTGCTCACACATATGTGCATAGACTATTACAACAGGAAGCCAAATCTTGAATGCTATGCTGCTTAGAAATTTCTTCTATCAGATACCCTTAATCATCACCCTCATGTTCAAAGTTCCACAGATCCCTAAGGAGGGGGCAGAATGCCTCCAAGTTCTTTGCCAATGCATAACAAAAGTGACCTTTTCTCTAGGTCCCAGTAAGTTCCTCATCTCCATCTGAGACCTCATCAGCCTGGGCTCTATTGTCTATATCACTATCAGCATTTTGGTCACAACAATTTAACAAACCTCTAGGAAGTTGCAAGTTTTCCCCCATTTTCTTGTCTTCTAAACTCTCCAAACTCTTCCAACCTCTACCTGTTACCCAGTTCCAAAGACATTTTCACATTTTCAGCTACGTTTATTGCAGTACCCAACTTCTGGTACCGATTTTCTGAATTATTCATTCTCAACTGTTATAAAGAAATACCTGAGACTGGGTAATTTATAAAGACAGAAGGTTTAAATTGGCTCATGGTTCTGCAGGCTATATGAAAGTATGATTCTGGCATCTGCTCAACTTATGAGAGGACCTCAGGAAATTTTCAATCATGCTGGAAGGTTAAGGGGAAGTAGGCATGACTTACAAGCCTGGAGTAGGAGGGAGAGAGAGCAGGGAGGTACCACACACTTTTAAACACCAGACGTTGTGAGAACTATCACAAGAACAGCACCAAAGAGATGGTCCTAAACTATTCATGAAGGATCCATCCTCATGAGCCAATCACCTCCCTGAGGTGCCACCTCCAACCTTAGTGATTACAAGTGAACATGAGATTTGGGTGGAGACACAGATCCAAACAATATCAGGGGTCATGGTGGACATGAGGGTGGGCTGGTCTCCCCACTTCTCACATGATACCAGGGATGTAGACACATTCAGACACCTTGGCAGAAAGAGAAGACAGAGGCCCTTGAAGTCACAAAGGGGAGGCATGAACAAATCTTGCATCTCAGTCCCTCACAAGGCAGTCTTAGAAAAAAAATAGTCATGAACAAATTCAGATCAGTCATAGTAAGTTGTGACACTGAACAGCCCACCACACCCTGAAAAATTCCAAATCAAAGAATCTCCAGAGCCTAGTTGTGTCCCCTATGCCCCAACTCCTCCTTCCCTTCAGGCCCCCTAAGTTGTCATTTTACAAGCCTTGAGAGACACATCAGAGCCCTGGGTACTGTCCCTGTTTCGGGTGGAACAAAAACAAAATCTGGTCAGAGCCCACAGATGATGTGACTAAAGGAGGAATTTTGGGGTGGTGAGCTCCCCCATGGGCTCCTGTCTACACTATCACAAGGATCTCAGGGATCACTCTTCCCACCCCTACCACACTTGCATGAAGCCTGAGCATAGCTGCCTCCTTTTCCATCTGTGGAAAGAAAATAAACTGTGAAAGGCCAGGGAGGAAGCAGGGTCATGAGATCCCAGAGGAGTGTCCAGAACTGTGACTGCAGACCCAGGTCAGAATCAGGAAACCCTAGGTAAGAGGATGTGTTGAAACTGGACTAATTGTCCTAGTGAGGTCTGTCCTCTGCGGGTACCTTCCCCTGACCTGTGACTGCTGGGAGTCAGGTTCCCATGACTCCAATGAAGGTGATAAATTTGTCCTTCATTTTCACAAGTTCTTTACAAAAGAGTAAGTGTTGATAGACAGAGATGGTGCCTCATGACTAGGCAGGATACAAGCCAACTCCCATCTGGGGCTGGGAATCCACCAATGGAAGAAGAAAACTCGGAGCTCACCCCTTTCCTACCTGGGCTCTTATTCTTCACATCACAGCAGTGACCACAGCTCTGGTGAAAACAGCACCAAGAACAACCAGGACAGTAACGATGCCCATGATGGGGATGGTGGGCTGGGAAGACAGCTGTAAGAAAGGAGGGGAACGTGAGGGGCCCTGACCATCAGGCCTCAAACCCTGACCTTGCTGAAGGGCTCCAGAAGGGCTCCTAGTTCCCGTGAGAAGAGACATGACCCCTCATCCCCTTCCTTACCCATCTCAGGGTGAGGGGCTCTGGCAGCCCATCGTGCTGCACATGGCATGTGTATCTCTGCTCCTCTCCAGAAGACACCACCACAGCTGCCCACTTCTGGAAGGTTCTGTACCCTGCAGGTGTGGTCTCCACAACCTCTGCATCCTACATTTGGTCCTGTCCATCCCACTACTGGGTCAGTGTGATCTCCACAGGGTAGAAGCCCAGAGCCCAGCACCTCATGGTGGCCTCATGGTCAGAGATGGGGTGGTGGGTCATGTGAGTCTTTGGGGTTCTGAGGGGAAGAGTCAGAAAATTCAGGCACTTTGCATTCCTCATGGGACATTCCACCTCATGGGACCATCCTGAAAATTGACGGGACACCTGAAGTGGGGAAGGGAGCAACTCAGACACCAGTCTAGACACAGGCACCTGGGGCAATCTTCTATTCCTTAGAAAGTTTTAGTGTCTGAGGCCGGAACAGAGATTTCTGGTCCTGACCTGAGCGGAGGCCGAGGTCAAAAAAGCTGGAATCAGACCCACAAATACACATTGAGTGTGAGGCAGAGAACAAGGCCTGAGAGGAAAATTCCTGGTGCCCAAGGCTGCTGTGGGGACAAAGGGGACCGCGGATCAGTATTTCAGGGATTGTCTTCCCCTCCTTTCCCTCAGAGACTTCGTCCTTTAACTGTCCCAGAGTGCAGGGCAGGCCCTCAGTCACTCTCTAGTATAGGATCTGAAAACCCGGGAGGACTCTTCCTCCTCACAAGAGGGAGAGGGATGTTTTAGCGTTGGTCCCATTTTCCTTCCCTTCTTTTGGAATGTGACTCAAGGAGATCTGCAGGAGATCAGGGAGGCACCCCGTGGCCACTGGTACCTGGGCACTGCAGCCTCTCCTTCCCATTCTTAAGGACTTTGCTGAGCCACTCCGCCCACCTTCCCTGCAGGTAGGTTTTGAGCAGCTCTGCCTGTTCCTCCGCCAGGGCATCTGAGCCGCCTTGTCCGCTGCAGTCCAAGAGCGCAGTTCCTGGTTTCGGACGAGGTAACTGGCGCCGTGATAGGGTATGTTCATACCCACTGAGGAGACTGCAGTCCGAGTCCACGTCGCAGCTGTGTACCCACTGGAGGGTGTGAGACCCATTCCCAGCGACCGCGGTCAGCCCAGGCCGCTGAGCCCCGCCTCAGCCTCCACCAACCCCCCAGGGATTTGGGCCTGAACTGAAAATGGAATCCGGTATAGGCGCCTGGGGCTTTTATTGGGTGGAGGATTTCCGCTGGTCCCGCAGCGGAGTAGCACAATCTTAGTAACAGTGGGTAGCGCAGTACAGTGGCTAGCACAATCTTGGTAGCCCCTGAATGGTCACGAATCTAATTTGTAAAAGAGGTGATTTTTGGCCCCATTATATATAAATGTGTCTAAACGCATTGCAGTTAGACTCACAAAGTTAAGTTTTACTTTCCCAGACTGTGTATCTGTGACTCTGGTCTGTTGTATTTTTAAATTATCTTTATCTTATAGCCCTGAGTTTGTGTGCGCGAGTCCAGGACATCTCAATACAAAGCACAATGTGTTACCGTATATTGCAACCAGGAGCCTGTACAGAATTTAATCACCTCAAATTTGCAAGTGCTCAATGCAGCCAAAGTGCCCGTCACCAGTGCTCATGCACCGCCTTTATTTATTATTTATTTATTTAGTTAGTTAGTTATTTTTAGACCGAGTATCACTCTGTTGCCCTAGCTGGAGTGCTGTGGCACGTTCATGACTCACTGAAGCCTCGACCTCCTGGGCTCATGCGATCAATGCTCCTCCTTCAGCCTCCAAGTATCTGGCACCACAGGCTTGTACCACCACTCCTGGCTAATTTTTCTAAAAAAAAATTTGTAGAAATGAGGTCTCCCTATGTTGCTCTGGCTAGTCTTGAACTCCTGAGCTCAAGTGATCCTCCTGCCTCAGCCTCCCAAAATGCTGGTATTACAGGCATGAGCCGCAATGGCCATCTCATGCACCTGCCTATATTTAGGAATTATTCACATCTAAGCTATGTGCATATTTTATTGGGACACTTGGTCTTCTTTTCTAACCTGTTTATCATAAGGAGGCAATTAGTTATTAGACAGCCCCACAGAATGTATTAAAGATCAAGGTGCAAGTAACACTGTGCCAGGCTCTGAGGATAAATGGATTAAAAATCTATAAAACCCTGTGTTTAAGTCTGAGAATTCCATTGCTTTAGAATTCTTTGTCTCTGTTCCTTTACCTCACCTCCTGCTTCTCCAGCCCTTCTCTCTGTCCCTGTCACCCATCAGGCCCTCCTCTCCCCTTAGTCTCTACTACTCTGTCACTACTGAATTGTGGCCCTAGCTCTGTCCCCTCACCTGCTGCCCATGACTGTTCTCCCAACAATGGTCAGAAATCCTGCTAATGTGAGTCAGATTGTGTCATTTCTTCACTTAAAACACTCCAATGACTCCATCTCACTCTCAAGAAGCGTCTAGAATGGAAGGCACATGAGCACAGGGGCTTTGGGTTGTTTTGATCAAAGTTGTGTCTGCAGCATATAAAAGCATATCTGGCACAACTAAGTTAATTTTCTTGAATGAATGAAATATGATTGTGTTAAAAATTGTATCGCACAAAAATCACAAAATGAAAAATGCAAAGCAAGTTAGGAAACATTTGGTTTTATGCAACTACTATGCATATCAGTTCATAAATTCATTCCATTGGAGAAAATGTCATATGCCTAGCTGTTGAATCTGTTTATGAATTTTCTATTAGTACATAACCAATTACCACAAACTTAGTGGCTTAAAAGAACACTCATTTATTTGTCTGCATTTCCTTCATCAGAAATCCAGGCCTAATGTGATAGACTCTTTGTTCAGAGTTTCGCAAAGCTGTATCCTCATCTTAAGATTGGGGTTCTCCCCCAAGCTTATGTAGAGTTTGTTGGCAGAATTCGGTTTCTGGCAATTGTAGGATTAAGGTCCCTGTTTCCTTCGGGCTATCAGAGTAGACAGTGGGGAGGGTTTCTAATTCCTATTGGCCACCAGTGTTCTTTCCCCATGATCCCACCATTTTCAAAGCCCACAGTGGAGGAAGCCCCTCACGCTGAATCCCTCTCACACTGTGAGTCTCTATTGTCAGGAAGAACCCAGTCCTTTTCAGAGCTTACCTGATTAGGACCGTCCAAGCAGGATAATCCCCATCTTAAAGCCAACTGACAGGGGACCTGGAATACATCTGCAAAATCCCTTCACAGCAGCACTTACATTAGTGTCAACAGAGTAACTGGGGTAATGTGAGTAACCAAGGGTGGTTATTGGGGTGTCATCATAGAATCACCCTAGCATAGCCTGGATCTTCCTTTTGTGTTTGAATAGAACATACAAATTGAAGGTAAAAATAATAGATCATTGTTAGTGATAATAAAATATATCTTATATAACCATGAAAATTCTTGTTAAATATTAAAAGCAAATGACATGTTTAATATCTTATAATCAATTTAGAGCAAATGAAAAATTCAATGATTCATCCTTTCTTGTGAAGGTGTATTAGTTATCTACTGATGCATAACAAGTCACTTAAAACTTAGCAACTCAAATCAACAAATATTTGTCATGTTCCACAGTTTCTAGTTGTCAGGAATCCAGGAAAGGTTTCTCAAAGTTCTTCTGGCTCAGGGCCACTCACAAAATTGCGGTCTAGTTGTCATCCAGGGCTTTATCATCTGAGGGCTCAAATGGGGCTGGGGATTCACAAGTCACAAGAATATCCCACATGGCTGTTGGAAGAGGCTTCATCTTCTTATTGTCTGGCCCCAGGAGGCCTCACTTCCTAGTCACTTGGAGCTTTCCACAGGCCTGCTTATGACACAGCAGCTGGCTTCCCCCAAGGCTCATGATCCCAGAGAAAGAGAAAACCAGAACCAAAGTAGAAGCTGCAGTGAGTTTTTGTTTGTTTGTTTGTTTGTTTTTTCAGACAGAGTCTCACCCTGTCACCCAGGCTGGAATGCAGTGGCTGGATCTTGGCTCACTGCAACCTCCGACTTCCAGGTTCAAGTGATTCTCCTGCCTCAGCCTCCTGAGCAACTGGGATTACAGGCATGCACCACCACACCTGGCTAATTTTTGTATTTTTAGTAGAGACGGGGTTTCACCGTCTTGGCCAGGCTGGTCTCGAACTTCTGACTTCATGATCCACCCTCTTGACCTCCCAAACTGTTGGGATTACAGCCGTGAGCGACCGCTCCCAGACTTAGTGAGTCTTATGATCTACACCCAGAGTCACAAACTATTATCTCAGCATTACTCTATCAGTCTGTAAGCGAATCATTAAGTTCAGGCCACACTCACAGGAAGGGAATGAAGCTGCACCTCTGCAAGGAGGAGTATCAAATAATTTATATGCATGTTAAGTATGTACAGTGTGCATGTTAAGTAACGTACAGAATGTAATCACCTCAAATCTGCAAGTGCTCAATGCAGCCAAAGTGCCCTTCACCAGGGCTCATGCACTGCCTCCATTATTTATTTATTTATTTATTTATTTAGTTAGTTAGTTAGTTAGTTATTTTTAGACAAAGTATCACTCTGTTGCCCTGGCTGGAATGCAGTGGCATGCTCATGACTTACTGAAGCCTCAACCTCCTGGGCTCATGCCATCAATGCTCCTCCTTCAGCCTCCCAAGTAGCTGGCACCACAATTAACATTATTGTTTCAGGATTTTGTAAATCAAATACTTCTTGTATCTGACTGATTTTCTTTAATACTTTAAAATTATCTTTTGTAAAGTGATGAATAAAACTTTGAGACAGAGAATGGAGATACAACAATATCTCAGATTTTTTTGCAAATGCCTTTAATATTAATGTTCTCTTTGATGAGTTGCAAGAAAGTTGAGAAAATACAGTAGCTAGATCAAAGAGTCCCAAGACTGGTGCCGTATAATAATGCCTTTACAATCATAACTATCTTTTTCCTCAGAAGCTACTAATTCCGTTTAAGAATGCCCAAAATGTCAATTTTCTTACTCAAGCTTCTGCAAAAATATTTGCCTAATCGGTGCTTTGCAGTTAGAGAAAATGTGTCTCACATCTTTGTCTGTACAGCTAGCTTAGCATCACGAACAACGATTTGGTTTGATGTAGTAGGCGGAAATGGTTAACTCCAATCTAGGAACAAGATTTTTCAATAACTGGGTATTCAGTGGGCATCCATTGATCAGTTTAACATCTTTCGCTGTGTTTTTTAATTAGATGTAGTAGAAGTGAGTTGGACTCCAGTATGATTCTGAAAAATACAGTTATTTTGTGCTTCTAATGTTGCTGTAAAAGAAACTCTTTCGTGTTTTCCATTCTTATTGCTATTTCATCACTAGTTATTCCTTTATGTGTTTTCATTTAATTTATTTTGCTCGACAGTGCTTTTTTTCTATTCTGTAAAAGTTTAATTCACTTGTATCTGTGGTAAAATTGAGCAACATATCAAATTCTCAAATTATTTGCGAGATACAATTGCCTTGCACATCAGATTGAACATTGTACACCAGAGAATGTAGAGAGTTGCCAATTAGCCAAGAATCAAATGACCTATTTCTAGCCAAGGCTATTTTTTCATGGCATCCTGGTACTCTCTGTCACATGGCTCCTTACAATTGGCTGTGGCTTTGTTTTAACTCATGTATTTATCGCTAAGGATCCTTGCAATGAACTTTTGTGTTTTCTTTTCTCTTTCATTTCCAAATAATCAGGAATGGCACACAAGGTGCATTTTGAAAATTGCCACTATAAATATTTGTGGGCCGGGAGTGGTGGCTCATGCTTCTAATCCCAGCATTTTGGGAGGCCGAAGTGGGTGGATCACCTGAGATCAGGAGTTGGAGACCAGCCTGGCCAACATGGTGAAGCACAGTCTGTACGAAAAATACAAAAATTAGCCGGGCATCAGGGCAGGTGCCTGTAATCCTAGCTACTCAGAGGCTGAGGTAGGAGAATCGCTTGAACATGGGAGGCGGAGGTTGCAGTGAGACAAGATCACACCACTGCACTCCCGCTTGGGCAACAAGAGTGAGACTCCATCTCAAAAATAAATGAATAAATAAATAAATAAAGATTTATGATCAAGTAACTAATTACCTGGACATCCTCTCCTGGCATAAGAAACAGAACCTATGAAGCCACCCTAGACTGTTGCCCAATCCTATCCACCAAAAGGAACCTCTATCTTGAGTCTTGTATTTACTAGTCCTTTGCACTGTCTCTAAAGATTTTTACAATAAATATATATACCCAAATCACAGTCTGACCTGTTTTTTTAACTTCCCTGTACAGCGAACTCACACTATATGTATTCTCCTGTGATGCACGTTATGTGTAGGAGAGTTATCTCTGATGTGGGAAGGTGCTGTTCAATCATTTTTACTGCTAAAATTTTACTTTTAGGGATTATATCACAATTTTGTTAATTCCCATTGATGCATATGTGATTGTTTCCAGTTTTTTTGCCATAAACATTGGTGTACACGTCTCTGGGACACATAGCCAAAAATATCCCCAGAGTGTATGATCAGGAGCAGGTGGTGGGATTATACAGTGTATGGACCTTAATCATACAAGATAAGGCTAATTTGATTTCCCAAGTGCTTGTACCAAGAATGGGAAAGAACTTATGTTGCTCATGTGTTCTGAAAACACTCAGTTGAAGGTGGAGATTACATGTTAAAAAACCACTGTCTTGGCTACAGAATCACCCTAGGCATTTTTTCATATTCCATTAATAACTTCCTTTTCTTTACTTTTATCCTGTAAATTATGGCATTATACTTTAAGCATAAGATTCAAATAATGCTTCTTTTTAGCCTAACCACATAGAGTTTGTGAAAAAGTGGAGGGAGGGAGAAAGCTCTGAGGGAGGAAAGGAGGAAAGAAAGATGGAAGGACAGAGAAAGACAAAATGAACATTTTCAAAAAAGAATAGGAGGAAAGGATTAGAAACAGCAAGTGTGGCTAATATTATTAAAATGCAGGGAATTAAAAGATGTAGATAACATCCATGGAATAACAGAAACTTAAGAAAGCCTTAATAGTTATTAACTGCTGTGTCACAAACTACCTCAAAATTTAGTGGCTTAATACAACAAATATCTGTTAATTTCAAAGAGATACTACAAACGCGCACAAAATAGATTTTATGGGGGTGGCAGAAGTTGGATAAAGAGATGGATTTTACAGGTTGGAATAAGTAAGAGTTATTGGTGTGCACATGGCAATGCTTTTTAGTCCAAGTCCTCCGAGGAGCAGATGCCAAGATGAGCTTAAAGTCTACGGCATCTTATGAGGGGACACACCTGTAAGGGAATATGAGAAGCGAGCCAGAAATCCCTGGAAAAGGCGGCAGACAATGATGCAAGTGTGACCCC
The DNA here is from genome assembly GCF_000001405.40 of Homo sapiens. NCBI lineage: Eukaryota > Metazoa > Chordata > Mammalia > Primates > Hominidae > Homo > Homo sapiens. The sequence continues at coordinate 1,205,846 of NT_167245.2, read as the reverse complement.
AAGTGCTGGACAGAAGGAGACAAGGTCTGTTCGACGCATCCTAGAGCAGAGGCAGTCTAAGGAGAGTTGAGGAAGGGCATGGAGGAGTCCTGGAGCCACATTTGGCCATCAGAGGAGTCCCATGTCTCCCAGTAATGGCCTGCCTTAGTGTGCTTGCTGTGACCAGTCACTGGCTGGGAACAACTCATGGAAGCAGGGCTTCTGCACTAATCCTGCTGAGGATGTCAGAGCACAGAAGCAGAGACTTGGGACATTACCTAGGAGTATCACTCAATCCTTCCTTCCTGAGGGTTCTGGGCTCTTGAATATCAAACCCTCTCAGGCTGGGTTGCTGGATGATTCTGCTCACACAACGGACAAGGGAAACCAGGATGTCCCCAAGTGGATTCCTGGTTTCCACACACACTTCTCCTGCCCTCATTGTGTGATAGCAGCCCTGCCTCCTCCTCTTCTCACCTGCTTGTCTCTGGGCACATACTATTCAAATATCCCTGGGTGCAACCACAATGTGTAGTTCCATGGACTCTCATTTGTCTCCTTGCGAGGGTGTCCTCTTTGGGAAACCAGGACCTCCTACCCTGCAGAGTCCAGATTTTGGAAGTAAGAGGAGCAAAATCACCCTGGGGGTGAATATAATGAATAAAATACATACATACATACGTACATACATACATGCATAAATTTATTTATGTATTGATGTTATTTATGTATTTATTTATTTACTTATAAGTAAATCACCCTGGGGGTGAATATAAGGAATGAGACACACCTGCTTTGACTTCTTGGTTTTTGGACCCACGTATTCTTCCTTCTGAAAACAGTGCCTTAGAGACGTCTTTGATTCAATACATGCATCACATCCTGAAAGATGGCACCCATTCCTCAGAGGATTTCATCCAAGCTGGTACTGAGTTGTGCCTGTAGAGTCCTGTCCATGACTCTGTGTGCCTGGCAGCACTTGAGAGGCGCAGGTGGTGATACGACCAGGGGATCCCATGGTCAGGACCCACACTTCATCCTCTTCTCCAAGAGGTGTGTCCCCCAGGCAGATAATGTACTGAAATTCTGAGCCAGTGGATCAGGAATGCCAATAGTAGTGTTGACTGAGGGTCTGAGAGCAGAGAGGAAAACCACACCACATCGAATCCCTGTGAGCCTATCCCTGTGAGGATAAACTTCTGCCCCTTCCAGGATGGATGGTGTTCAAGCTATTCAACTTGTCACTTAGGGGCTAGTCAGTTACTTTAAGAAATGGTGCCCTATCAGTGCCTATCATTGGTCTGCAATGCTCATGAGCAGAGTATTCAGAGGAAGCAGTAGCTGGGTGGGCCTTGGTAGTGGAGAGACAGTGCTGCTGGACTCATTTGTAGCCTCATTCTTGCCACTGTGGTTGCTCCACTCATGGGTTCTTCCTATCAGGCCTGGGCTGATCCATGATGCAGACTGGCTAACTTCAATTTGTCTTCAATTTGTTTGATTATTCAGGGCCACATCAGGACTGGGTGTTTTCTGTGGGTGTTAACATGGAATTGAGGCTCAACCGACATGGACCATTTTCGTCTCATGATAGATGCCGCTGGGCCTGTCCAATGAATGACTCTATGGGTCACATAGAAGCCAATACACACGGGCACTTGGAATCACATGGTTGCTTGGTGTCCTATGCGCAAGCATTCTATCTTATCAGGGCCAGTAACATGCTAAAAGTTGCTTCTAACATGGAGCATGTTTCTCTGCTGTGGACTCCATGGCCTTACTCCTGATCCCAGGCCCTGCATTCTGACTTTCCCACTGATGCTTGGTTGAGCTCCATCCTGCTTCTTTCCCCAGACCGCCACCTCCAGCACCAGGGGTCTGAGGGATGGTGACTGACTGCACCACAGCCTGGGTCTGCTGCAGTGTCCTTTCCAGTCCAGGCCCCACTCAAAGCTGGCCTCCTCCTATATCACCCAGAGTGTCAGCCAAAGCAATAAACTTAGATGTGGAATGTGGTGTTGCCAGAACCCAGAGAGGCTCATCAAGTAGTGTGCTTCCTTCCTTCTGGTGAGGATGCAAGATGCAAGTTTGTCTTTTACTTTGTGGTGGGGGGGGGGCGGGGAGCTCTGCATGCCCCTAACCACTGGACCCATAACACTTCACTGCAGTGGCCACTCTTGAAGCTCTGTAAGGTTTATCTTCACCTTCTGTAGTGCACATGTTTTGCCAGGGAATTCAGCGTACTTTCCTGCTGTTGTTCATCCTTCCCAATTTATGTGATATTGCCAATGAAATGAAGAGATTTAGTATTCATTGGGATGTCTGATTTGTCCAGGTCTCTTAAGGTGATATTTATAGAAGGTTGAGGAGTTAAGGTAGCCCTGATGCAAGCTATCAATAAATGTATTATAAATCCCATGTGAATGTGAATCATTCCATATCCATCTTCTAAATGAAATGGGAGGGAATGCACTCACCAAATCCACAGCTGCTTGCCATGTGCCTGAGGCCTTATTAATCTCCCCAGGCAGTGATATCCAGCCAGCATGGCAGCTGCAATCAGGACTCCTACTTGGTCAAGTCTGGAGTAATTCCATTCATTCTTTAGCCATATCAGGCTTCTGCAGGTACAGATTGCTGAGTTATATGGAGATAACAGGCAATCCCAACAACACCCCGCATCGTTCAGGTCTGTAATGGCAGTGCCACCCCTATAATACCTGCAGTACCCTCCACAAGACCCACCCTGGGGCACAATATTGCTTCTGGTTTGGCTTGTATGAGGGATGTTTCCCTTTGGGCTTCAGCACAATGAGATCCCTTACTCTCCAGACTAGGGACACAGTGTGGGGTGACTCCAGTTGCCAGTGCATCAAGGCCAATTATGCACTCAGAGAATGGGGAGATAACCAGGACAGGATTTATGGAACTGGTGATTCCACCATGGGGCATAATTTGTCTAGGTTTATTCCCTGGCCTCTGTAAGCCCCAGTGTGATGGGGGACATAATGGTGCTGTGGGAATCTGGGCAGCAATGTCAGCTCACACCCAATGTTAATACTTATCCCATCTCCTGATTAAATGGCTATAGGCTCCTTTGCAGAAGGGCTGATGGAATTGTCCCAGCATGTAACCATCATCGTGTCCCAAGGTTCTTTCTCTTAGGGATATAGATATGTCCTTAGTCACTGGATTCTGAATCTGAAGCTTGCTCCTCAATTCCACATGCTTATCATAGATATCAAGCAGTGACCTTGCTGTCTGCCCATCTTTTCTGACCCTGGGACACCACCCTTTATTAACCTTCCCCACAACTCCTTGAAGGTCAAGCCCCCTTGGCTGATACTCTGGGTTATCACAGTAAATGTGCCCTTTATCTTTTGCAGGTCACTGAAAAGGAGGGTTCCTAAAGCATTCACTCCTGACCCTGAGGGAGGTGGGTGCACTCACTCCAGGACTCAGGTTCACCACAGATAAGCAAAAAAGTCCTCACATTCAAAATTGTCCTGGGCCACATGCAGCCCACGAGCCGCGGGTTGGACAAGCCTGCATCTAGAACGTATGCACCATAACCCCAGAAATTTTTCTGTTTTTACTTTAAGGATGCTTTCTAAATGCAAAAGCAGTCATATCCCTAGCAGACAACAAATGTCAGTTGAATGAATGACCACTGTAGAGCATCTCCCTATTCTAAAGCCCATACCTTTATTAATGTAGCCACAGGGCAAATGCTGTTTTGTGGCAGCTAAAGAACATAAGTTCACATGGACATCCACGCCGCCAGTGCTTTTCTCACCAGGGCTGCTTGTGTGTCCTCCCTCCTCCCACACCAACCCTCCTGCACACTTCAGCACAAAACCATATATTTCTCTTCAGGAACAATAACCCTAGCCTTATGGGTACAATTTTCCAACCACATATGAATCTAAATTAGACTCTGCTTTATAAATCTATGAGTTTGGATTGGAGCCAGCACTAGGATTACTACAATTCAGAGCAGGAAGAAGAGTAGGAGGGCAGAACAGGAGTTCCAACAGAAAGTTAATCATGATGAGAAACTATGGGACCACTCCTCTCTGCAAATGTCACAATCTGGTTCCTTTAAAAAGATTGGAGAAAAATTGAAAATACAATTGAGGAAAAAGCCCTGGGAGGAAGGCAAGACCTAGACAGGTCTGAAAATTTGTCTCTTGATACCGCAAGGAGATTTGTATGCAGGGACCACCCTAGGTGACATCCAACTCCCTGTGATCACAGGTCTTAGTGGGACAAGGTTCTACTGAAGGGCCAAGGACAATGGAGCAGCAAAGATGACCCAGCCAAGCAGTGACCACATAAAGCCCATAGTGGCCGGAACAGAAACTGGGCACAGCCCCATCTACTCTCCTCCCCTGCAACAAATCAGCATAAGCAACACGTGGACTCTGGAAGGTTCTCATGTGTTCCATTTATTTTGTCTCTCAAATTTTAGGAATCTTCTCCTTTAATTAACTCATCAACCTCTCATGGCAAGAATTTGAGAAAGTAAATTTATACTCAGGTTCTAATTTTAATAGGGAAGGAAGAAGTTACAGCTCAGTGCACCATGAAGTTGAGACAGAGATGGAGACACCTCAGCCCCACCTCTCTGGAACAGGAAAGATGATTGGGGAGGGAGCACAGGTCAGCGTGGGAAGAGGGTCATGGTGGACATGGGGGTGGGGTGGTCTCCCCACCTCCTCACATTATGCCTACACGAACACAGACACATGCAGGTGCCTTTGCAGAAACAAAGTCAGGGTTCTTCAAGTCACAAAGGGAAGGGCAGGAACAACTCTTGCCTCTCAGTCCCACACAAGGCAGCTGTCTCACACTATAGAAAAAAATATTCATGAACAAATTCGTATCTGTCACAGTGAGGGGTCACACTTTAAACAGCCCATCGCATGCTCAATACATCCAATGGAAAGAAACCCCATAGCACAGCTGTGTCCACTGTTCCGCCCAACACCCAACACACATCAGGCCCTCCAGGCTCTCACCTTTACAAGCTGTGAGAGACACATCAGAGCCCTGGGCACTGTCACTGCCTGGGGTAGAACAAAAACAGAACCTGGTCAGATCCCACAGAAGATGTGGCTAGAGGAGGAATTGTGGGGTGGGTGAGCTCCCCCATGGGCTCCCAAACACAATATCCCAAGGACCTCAGGCATCAGCCTCCTTCATACTTACTTGCAGCCTGAGAGTAGCTCCCTCCTTTTCTATCTGTGGGAAGAAAATGTCCTGTGAGATACCAGAAAGGAGTCAGGGCCTTAAGGTCCTAGAGGAACCTCCAAGTCTTGGACCTCAGAGAAGTTTCCAGAAATGTGTGACTGCAGACCCAGGGCGGGATCAGGAAACATGAAGAAAGCAGGTGTGGGTCCTGGACCAACCGCCCTCCTGAAGGTCCTCAGGGACCTTCCCCTGTGACTTGTGACTGCTGGGATCAGGTCCCATCACCGCTGTAATCAAGGTGATAAATCTGTCCTTCATTTTAACAGGTGCTTTACAAAAGAGTAAGTGCTGGCACACAGGGCCCAGGCTGGGTAGGCCCATAATTGTGGGTGGTGCTTCCCAGTAACGAGGCAGGGCACACTTCTACCTGGGTCTTGGAACCCTCAGTGAGACAAGAAATCTCAGACCCACCCTTCACCCCTTCCCCACCTGAGCTCTTCCTCCTCCACATCACAGCAGCGACCACAGCTCCAGTGATCACAGCTCCAAAGAGAACCAGGCCAGCAATGATGCCCACGATGGGGATGGTGGGCTGGGAAGACGGCTCTGGGAAAAGAGGGGAAGGTGAGGGGCCCTGACCCTGCTAAAGGTCAGAGAGGCTCCTGCTTTCCCTAAAAGACATGACACCCCCGTCTCCCTCCTTACCCCATCTCAGGGTGAGGGGCTTGGGCAAACCCTCATGCTGCACATGGCAGGTGTATCTCTGCTCCTGTCCAGAAGGCACCACCACAGCCGCCCACTTCTGGAAGGTTCCATCCCCTGCAGGCCTGGTCTCCACGAGCTCCGTGTCCTGGGTCTGGTCCTCCCCATCCCGCTGCCAGGTCAGTGTGATCTCCGCAGGGTAGAAGCTCAGGGCCCAGCACCTCAGGGTGGCTTCATGGTCAGAGACAGCGTGGTGAGTCATATGCGTTTTGGGGGCGTCTGTCAGGAAGAGTCAGATCATTCAGGCATTTTGCATCTGTCATGGGACACTCCTCCAGCACACATGTGGCTATCTTGAGAATGGACAGGACACCTGGGATGGGGAAGGGAGCACAGAACCCAGACACCAGCCTGGACACAGGCACCTGGGATAATCTCCTATTCCGTGGAAAATTCTAGTCCCTGAAGAGGGAACAGCGACTTCTGGTCCTGACCTGAGTGGAGGCTGAAGGACTCAGAAGTGCTGGACTCAGACCCCCACACACATTGAGTGTGAAGCAGAGAACAAGGCCTGAGAGGAAAAGTCACGGGCCCAAGGCTGCTGCCTGTGTGTGTCAAAGGGAACCACTCATCAGTATTCGAGGGATCGTCTTCCCGTCATTCCTTCAGAGATTTTATCCCTTAATTGTGTCAGAGAGCAGGGCGGAACCTCAGAGTCACTCTCTGGTACAGGATCTGGAAACCCAGGAGGATTCCTCTCCCTCAGGACCAGAGGGAGGGCGATATTCTAGTGTTGGTCCCAATTGTCTCCCCTCCTTGTGGGAGGCCAGCCCGGGAGATCTACAGGCGATCAGGGAGGCGCCCCGTGGCCCCTGGTACCCGTGCGCTGCAGCGTCTCCTTCCCGTTCTCCAGGTATCTGCGGAGCCACTCCACGCACGTGCCCTCCAGGTAGGCTCTCAACTGCTCCGCCACATGGGCCGCCTCCCACTTGTGCTTGGTGGTCTGAGCTGCCATGTCCGCCGCGGTCCAAGAGCGCAGGTCCTCTTTCAGGGCGATGTAATCCTTGCCGTCGTAGGCGTACTGGTGGTACCCGCGGAGGAAGCGCCAGTCCGACCCCACGTCGCAGCCATACATCCTCTGGACGGTGTGAGAACCTGGCCCGGACCCCGCGGTCAGCCCGGTCCCCCGAGCCCCGCCCCGCCCCGACCAACCTGGGGGGATTTTTGGCCTAAACTGAAAATGAAACCGGGTAAAGGCGCCTGGGCCTCTCCCGGGGCAAGGGTCTCGGGGTCCCGCGGCTTCGGGGCGGATCTCGGACCCGGAGACTGTGGGCGACCTGGCCCGTCCGTGGGGGATGAGAGGTCGTGACCTGCGCCCCGGGCCGGGGTCACTCACCGGCCTCGCTCTGGTTGTAGTAGCCGCGCAGGGTCCCCAGGTCCACTCGGTGAGTCTGTGAGTGGGCCTTCACTTTCCGTGTCTCCCCGTCCCAATACTCCGGACCCTCCTGCTCTATCCACGGCGCCCGCGGCTCCATCCTCTGGCTCGCGGCGTCGCTGTCGAACCGCACGAACTGCGTGTCGTCCACGTAGCCCACTGCGATGAAGCGGGGCTCCCCGCGGCCGGGCCGGGACACGGATGTGAAGAAATACCTCATGGAGTGAGAGCCTGGGGACGAGGAGTGGCTGAGACCCGCCCGACCCTCCTCCCGGCGCGGCTTCCCGGGTCCTGCGCCCCCGCCAGGCGGGCCCGTTGCTTCTCCCCACAGAGGCCGTTTCCCTCCCGACCCCGCACTCACCCGCCCAGGTCTGGGTCAGGGCCAGAGCCCCCGAGAGTAGCAGGACGAGGGTTCGGGGCGCCATGACGGCCATCCTCGGCGTCTGGGGAGAATCTGAGTCCCGGTGGGTGCGTGCGGACTTTAGAACCGCGACCGCGACGACACTGATTGGCTTCTCTGGAAACCCGACACCCAATGGGAGTGAGAACTGGGTCCGCGTCGTGAGTATCCAGGAAGAAGGACCCTACATAGGTTGGGAGAGGGAGAAAAGAAACTGCGGAGTTGGGGAATCCCCAAGGCTGGGACTCCCCAATCCATACACCGCCTTCGGGGCCTGAGACCCTGAGAGCCACGCCTGGGGCCCTGGGACTTCGCCCTGACCCCTCTGCTTCTGTGCCAAGCGCTCTGTCTCAATGTCTCCCTGAGTCTTGGCCCAAGAGCTGTCTGAGAAACAAGGGAGAAACCCTCGGCATGGGCCCCGTCCCTCTCCTTTCACTTTTTATCCCGTAATCTCTGTCCCTGAACTGGACTCCCTGACTCCCACTCCTTACCTGTCCACCTGGACTCTTCTAGAAGAAAAATCATCCCATGGAGTTTGGTGCCAGAGAGTAAGCTTGCTCTGGGAATGGAGGTGTAGATTTTTGTTGTTGTTGTTTTTGTTTTTAATCGGGAAGAGTTGCGCCTGAGTGCATGAGACAGAATAGAGACCAATTTGCTCTTTGTTTATTAACTACAGTGGGTAGCAGAATCTTGGTAACCCCTGAATGATCAGGAATCTAATAGGTAAAAAATGTGACTTTGGCCCCTTGATGTATAAATGTGTCCAAAAGCCTTACAACAGGACTCACAAAGCTACTAAGTTGCATTTTCCCAGACAATGTATCTGTGACTCCTGCTTGTAGTATTTTAAATTTACCATCATTCCATAGCTCTGAGTTTCTGTGTGAGTCCAGGACATCTCCTCAATACAAAGTAGCGACTGTGTTCCTATATGTTGCAACCAGAAGCCATTACAGGCTTTATTCACCTCAAAGTTGCAACTGTTCAATGCACTCACAATGCCCCTCACTAGTGCTCATGCACTGTCTGTTTTTAGGAAGTATCCACTTCTAAGTGTTGTGTATATTTTATAGGAACACTTAGTATTTTTTAAACCTGATTAACATAAAAAATTAGTTTTTAGGCAGACCCACATGAGGTATTAAAAGACAACTGCCAAGGACACCCTGCTAGGCTCTGTAGATGGATGTATTAAAATCCATAAAACAATGTATTTAAACCTAAGAATTCTGCTGCTTTCAAATTCTTTCCTCTGCTCCTTTTCCTCACCTCCTGCTTCTCCAGCCCTTCCCTCCGTCCTTCTCATCCTTCAGGCCCTCCTGTCCCCTTAGTCCCCACCACACTGTCACTCATGAATTGTGACACTAGCACTGTCCCATGACCTGCTACGTAACTGTTTTTTTCACAGTGGTCCTGCTCCTGTGAGTCGGAGTGTGTTATTTCTCCACTTAAAACACTCCAGTGTCTCCACCTCGGTCTTGTGAAGCTTCTGGAGTGTCAGGCACTTGAGCATATGAGGGGATACCTGGTTCATTGTAGGGACTAAGTTAATTTTTGTTGATTTAATGAATGAAATATGAGTGTATTAAATTGCATCACAGATAATTATAAACTGTAAAACACTGAAAAAGTTCAGAAAGATTTTATTTTATGCAACTAGTGTGTATATCAATTCATTCGCACACTACCACGCCTGGCGAAACAACACCCATTTATCTGCTTATAGTTCCTTGGTCAGAAATCTGGGCAAGATGTGGATAGAATCTCTGTTCTGGGCTTCCAAAAGCTGTGTTTTCATTTTGAATCCTCCTTCAGGTTTATACAGAGGTGGCGGAATGCAGTTTCTGGCAGTTGTAAAGACTGAGGTCCCTGTTCCTGGCTAGCTGTCAGTGTAGAGAACTGGGAGGGGCTCAATTCCCGGTGCTCACCAGCATTCTTTCCTACACAGCCCCTTAATTTTTTTTTTTTTTTTTTTTTTTTTTTTGAGACGGAGTCTGGCTCTGTAGCCCAGGCTGGGGTACAGTGGCCCAATGATCTCTGCTCACTACAAGCTCCACCTCCTGGGTTCACACCATTCTCCTGTCTCAGTCCCAAGTAGCTGAGACTACAGGTGCCCACCACTACACTCTGCTAATTTTTTTTTTTTTCTTAGTAGAGACAGGGTTTCACCTTGTTAGCCAGGATTGTCTCAACCTCCTGACCTCATGATCCACCCGCCTCGGCCTCCCAAAGTGTCGGGATTACAGGCGTGAGCCACCGCGCCCGGCCCATAGCCCTTTCCTTTTCAAAGCCCATGGTGGAGGAAACCCCTCATGCTGAGTCCCTCTCACACTGTAAGTCTCTATGCTCATGAAGAACCCAGTCCTTTCAAGGGCTCACCTGATTAGGACAGTTCAAGCAGGATAAACCCAGCATAAATCAACTAATTGAGACCCTTAATTATATCTGCTAAATCCCTTCACAGCAGCACCTATATTAGAGTTGGTTGAATAACTGGAGGAAGGTGAATGACCAGGAGCTGCTTGTTGAGGCCTTCATAGAATCAGCCTAGCAAGGGTTGGATCTTCCTTTTGTGTTTAATTGGGACACAGTTGGAAAGTGAAGTTCAAGTAAAGTGATCATTGTGAACGGTCATAAAATACATCCTCTTCAGCCATGGAAATTGTCCTTACCTTTTAAAACTAAGTTACATGTTTAATATCTTATAATTAATTTAGGCCAGGTATGGTGGCTCACGCCTGTCATCATAGCACTGTGGAAGGTGGAGTAAGGGAGATTTGTTGACTCCAGAAGTTCAAGATCAACCTGGGCAAAACCTCCATCTCTACAAAAAATTAGAAAATTAGCCAGGCATGGTAGTTCATGATGGTAGTCCCAGCTACTCAGGAGGCTGAGGTCAGAAGGTCCCTTGACCCCAAGAGTTCGACACTGCAGTGCATGGTGATCATGCCACTGCATTCCAGCCTGGGTGACAGAGCAAGACCCTGTCTCAAAAATAATAATGATGATGATGACACATTTAGAGCAAATGCAATTTGATGTGTAATAATACATCTTCTCTTGTGAAAATGTATTATTTACTATTGCATAACAAATTACGTAAAACTTAGCTCGAAACAACAAATATTTCTCATCTCCCACAGTTTCCAATTGTCAGGAATCCAGGAAAGGTTTCCCTGAGTGCTTCCTGCTCAGGGCCTCTCAAAAGGCTGCACTCCAGTTGTCAGCCAGGGGCCGCAGCATCCAAGGGCTTCGCTGGGGCTGGGAATTCACAAGAAACATGGATCAGTCACATGGCTGTTGGAAAAGGCCTGGTTCCTTGTTGTCTGTTCCCAGAAGGCCTCAGTTCTCAGTCATGTGGACCTTCCTGCAGGGCTGCTTATGGCAGAGCGGCTGGCTTCCCCCAGAGCTCATGATCCCAGATTCAGAGAGAGAGAAGGTGGAAGCCGCAGTTAGTTTTATGTTCTACACCCAGAGTCACAAACTGTTATGTTGGCACTATTCTATAAGTTAGAAGTTGTATTAGTCCATTCTCACACTGCTATAAAGAAATACATGAGACTGGGTAATTTATAAAGGAAAGAGATTTAATTGACTCACAGTTCTGCATGACTGAGGAGGCTGCCCCAGGAAACTTACAGTCACGGCAGAAGTGGAAGCAAACCCGTCCTTCTTCACGTGGTGACAGGAGAGAGAAATGCACAATGAAGCAGGGAAAAGCCCCTTATAAAACCATCAGATCTCATGAGAATTCCCTCAGCATCAGGAGAACAGCATGGGGGCACCGTCCCCATGATCCAATCACCTCCCATGAGGTCCCTCCCCCAATAGGTAGGGATTACAATTTGCATAACAATTCAAGATGAGATTTGGGTGGGAACACAGAACCAGGCCATTTCAGAAGTGCCTCATTAAGTCCAAGCCACACTCAAGAGAGGGAATTAAGCTGCACCTCTAGAAAGGAACAGTATCAAAGGATTTGAATATACGTTAAAAGCAAAATTATAACTATTGTTTCAGGTTTCTGAAAATCAAAGTCTTCTTGTATCTAATTATTTTTCATTAACTCTTTAAGCTTGTCTTTTAATTTAATTTTTTTTTAAGTTCCAGGGTACATGTGTAGGATGTGCAGGTTTGTTACATAGGTAAATGTGTGCCATGTTGGTTTGCTGCACCTGTCAACTCATCACCTAGGTATTAACCCTGGCATGCATTAGCTATTTTTGCTAATGATCCTCCCATCACCACCCTCCCCCAACTGGCCCCAGTGTGTGTTGTTCCTCTCCCTGTGTCCATGTGTTCTCATTGCTCAGTTCCCAATTATATATGAGAACATGTGGTGTTTGGTTTTCTGTTCCTGTGTGAGTTTGCTGAGGATAGTGGCTTCCATCTTCATCCATATCCCTGCAAAGGACTTGATCTCCTTCCTTTTCATGGCTGCATAATATTCCATGGTGTCTATGTACCACATTTTCTTTATCCAGACCATCATTGATGGGCATTTGGGCTGATTCCATGTCTTTGCTATTGTGAATAGTGCTGCCATGAATGTAAACATGCATATATCTTTATAATAGAATGATTTACATTCTTTTAGGTATATACTCTGTAATGGGATTGCTGGGTCAAATGGTATTTCTGATTCTAAATCTTTGAGGGATCGCCACACTGTCACTGTCTTCCACAATGGATTAACCGATTTACTTTTCCACCAACAGTGTAAAAGCATTCCTATTTCTCCCCAACCTCACCAGCATCTGTTGTTTCTTGACTATTTAATAATTGCCATTCTGACTGGCATAAGATGGTATCTCATTTGTCGTTTTGATTTGCATTTCTCTAATGATCAGTGATGGTGAGCTTTTTTTTTTCATATTTTTGTTGGCCACATGTATGTCTTCTTTAGAAGTGTCTGTTCACTTTCTTTGTCCACTTTTTAATGAAGTTTTTTTTCATGTAAATTTGCTTAAGTTCTTTGTGGATTCTGAATAGTAGACTTTTGTCAGATGGATAGATGGCAAAATTTTTCTCCCATTCTGTAGCATGTCTGTTCACTCTGATTGATGATAGTTTCTTTTGCTGTGCAGAAAAAAATTGCCTAATCTGATTGCTTTTCATTTACAAAAATGTGAATCTCATACTTCAGTAAACACATCTAGCTTAGCATGATGCCAATAATTTTGGCTTGATGCTGTAGCCCGAAATGGTTAGCTCGAATTGAGAGACAAGTTATTTTCAAAAACTGGCTATTCAATGGGCATTCTATAACAAACTTAACATCTTTTGTTGTGGTATTGAATGAGATGTGATAGAAGTGATTTGGACACCACTGTGATTCTAAATAGCACTGCTATTACGTGCTTCTGAATTTTTTTTTTCTTTTTAGCAGTCTTATTCTGTTTCCATTCATATTTGCTATTCCATCACTGGGTATTCCTTCCTACGCTTTTCATGTTTCATTTATTTTGATCAGTGATGTGCATTTCCAATTCTGTAAAAGTTTAATTCAGTTGTATGTGTGGTAAAATGTAACATCAAATCTTTGCAAGATGAAATTACCTTGCACAGCATATTGAACATTGTATTATTGAAAATCTAGAGAGACGCCAGTGAGCCAAGGATCGAATGACCTATATGTAGCCAAGGCCGTTTTCATGGCATCCTGGTCCTCTCTGTCACATAGCTCCTTACAATTCTCTGTGGTTTTCTTCCAATGTAAGTAGTTCTTGTTAAGAATCTTTGCAATGAACTTTGAAATTCTTTTCTTTTTCATTTCTATAAAAAACAGGTATATTTTAATTTGGAAAACTCTGTTTAAGGAATTATAATCAAGTAACTACCAGGGTGCCCAGCACTGGTGTAAAACACGAAACTGTAAAACAACCCTGGGCTGCTACCCAGTCATCCTCCAGAAGGAGACTGTTGGGAGCAAGTCCCCCAAAATCTGGTCATAAACTGGCCCTGACACTGGCCATAAACAAAATCTCTGCAGCACCATAACATGTTCATAATGCCCTTAGCACCCAAGCTGGAAGGTTGTGGGTTTATGGGAATGAGGGCAAGGAACACCTGGCCTGCCCAGGGTGGAAAACCACTTAAAGGCATTCTTAAGCCACAAACAATAGCATGAGTGATCTGTGTCTTAAGGGCATGTTCCTGCTGCAGTTAACTGGCCCAACCTATTCCTTTAATTTGGCCCATCCCTTCGTTTCCCATAAGGGATATTTTAACTAATTTAATATCTATAGAAACAATGCTAATGACTGTAATAAATATGCGGGTAAATCTCTGTTCGGGGCTCTCAGCTCTGAAGGCTGTGAGACCCCTGATTTCCCACTTCACACCTCTATATTTCTGTGTGTGTGTCTTTAATTCCTCTAGCACCGCTGGGTTAGGATCTCCCTGACTGAGCTGGTCTCAGCAGAAGACTCCATGCTGAGTCTTGTGATACTTATTCCTTTGTATTTCTTCAAAGATTTGTGCAATATGTATATGTGTATATATATATATATATATATATATATATATATACACACACACACATACATATATGTGTATATATGTGTATATATACACATATATGTATATATGTGTATATATGTGTATATATACACATATATGTATATATGTGTATATATGTGTATATATACACATATATGTATATATGTGTATATATATGTGTATATATACACATATATGTATATATGTGTATATGTATGTGTATATATACACATATATGTATATATGTGTATATGTATGTGTATATATACACACACATATATATATGTATGTGTATATATATATATATATATATATATATATATATATCCCCAAAACAAATATCAGTTGGTTTTGCTGGTTTTTAAGCTTCCTGTACAGCAAGTTCCTACTGCATTTATTTTCCCATGATGCACATTATGTGTAGGAGTTATCTGTGGTGTGGGAGGCTGTCATTCATTCATTTTTACTGCTGAAGGCTTACATATGGTTATACCACAATTTCACTAGTTTCCTATTGATGTATATGTGGCTGATTCCAGTTTTTGCCATAAATATTAGTGTGCGTGTCTCCTGTGCACATAGGCAAGAAAGCCCCCCAGAGTGGATGATTAGGAATGGATTGGTTGGATGATAGGTTGTATGGACTTTAACCATACTAGATAATGATAATACAAATTCCAAAGTGATTGTGGCTACTTAAACTTTTACAATAAATGCGTAATACTTGATGTTGATGATGTGTTCTGAAAACACTGCGTTGAAGGAATTGAGTTAAAAGCCACTGTCGTGGCTGTAGAATTATAGCGGGCATTTTTATTCAGACTCTGTTAATAACTTCCTGTTGTTTACTTGTTTCTCATATACATGACATTATATTTTTGACATATAGATTCAGAAAATGCTTACTTACAGCCCAATCACATAGAGTTATTTTATATATTAGGAAAATTTCATAATAAAAAGGAAAAAATGGAGGAAGAGAGAGAAAGAAGGAGGAATGGAGGAAAAGTGAAAGAAGAAAAGAAGGAAGGGGAGGGGAAGGAAAGGGAGAAAGAAGGAGGGAAGGCGATAGGTTGAATGGAAATAGAGAAGAAAGAGATGGAGGGAGGGCTAGAAGGAAGGGGAAAGTGAAGGAAGAGGCCAGGCGCAGTGGCTCATGCCTGTAATCCCAGTCTTTTGGAGGCCGAGGCAGGCAGATCACGAAGTCAGGAGATCGAGACCATCCTGGCTAACATGGTGAAACCCTGCCTCTACTAAAAATACAAAAAATTAGCCGGGCATGGTGGCAGGTGCCTGTAGTCCCAGCTCCTTGGAAAGCTGAGGCAGGAGAATGGCATGAACCTGGGAGGCGGAGCTTGCAGTGAGCCGAGATCGAGCCACTGCACTCCAGCCTGGGCGACAGAACGAGACTTTGTCTCAAGAAAAAAAAAAAAAAAAGAAAGAAAAAAGAAAAAAAAAAAAGGATGGAACAAAGGAGAAAAGAAACTAAAATAAAGAAAAGAATAGGTGTTGAGAAACTAGAAACCCTATGTGTGGCTAATATTATCAAAATAGGAGAAAATAAAACAGATGTAGTTAACCTCTAGAGAATAATGGAAATGTAAGAGGGCTTCATTAGTTATCCATTGCTGTGTAACAAACTACCCCCAAATTTAGTGACTTGGGATCACTAAATGAGGGATCGTCTTCCAGTCATTCCCTCAGAGATTTTATCCCTTAATTGCGTCTTCCCGTCATTGCCTCAGAGATTTTATCCCTTAATTGTGTCAGAGAGCAGGGTGGAACCTCAGAGTCACTCTCTGGTACAGGATCTGGAAACCCAGGAGGATTCTTCTCCCTCAGGACCAGAGGGAGGGTGATATTCTAGTGTTGGTCCCATCTGTCTCCCCTCCTTGTGGGAGGCCAGCCCGGGAGATCTACAGGCGATCAGGGAGGCGCCCCGTGGCCCCTGGTACCAGTGCGCTGCAGCATCTCCTTCCTGTTCTCCAGGTATCTGCGGAGCCACTCCACGCACGTGCCCTCCAGGTAGGCTCTCTGCTGCTCCGCCTCATGGGCCGCCTCCCACTTGCGCTGGGTAATCTGAGCCGCCATGGCCGCCGCGGTCCAAGAGCTCAGGTCCTCCTTTAGGGCGATGTAATCTTTTTACAGAGAATCCTTTTTACAGAGAATGGGGAGATAACCAGGACAGGATTTATGGACCCAGTGATTCCACCGTGGGGCATAATTTGTCCAGGTTAATTCCCTGGCCTCTGTAAGCCCCACTGTGATAGGGACATAATGGTGCTGTGGGAATCTGGGCAGCAATGTTAGCTCACACCCAATGTTAACACTTATCCCATCTCCTGATTAAATGGCTATAGGCTCCTTTGCAGAAGGGCTTATGGAATTGTCCCAGCATGTAACAGTCATGGTGTCCCAAGGTTCTTTCTCTTAGGGATATGGATACTTCCTCAGCCACTGGATTCTGAATATGAAGCTTGCTCCTCAATTCTTACATGCTTATCATAGATATCAAGCAGTGCTCTTGCTGTCTGCCCATCTTTTCTGACCCTGGGACACCACCCTTTATTAAGCTTTCCCATAACTCCTTGAAGGTCAAGCCCCCTTGACTGATACTCTGGGTTATCACAGTAAATGTGCCCTCTATCTTTTTCAGGTCACTGAAAAGGAGGGTTCCTAAAGCATTCACTCCTGACCCTGAGGGAGGTGGGTGCACTCACTCCGGGACTCAGGTGCACCACAGATAAGCAAAAAAGTCCTCACATTCAAAATTGTCTTGGGCCACATGCAGCCCACGAGCTGCGGGTTGGACAAGCTTGCATCTAGAACATATGCACCACAAGGCCCGAAATTTTTCTGTTTTTACTTTAATGATGCTTTCTAAATGCAAAAACAGTTATATACCTAGCAGAAACAAATGTCAGTTGAAGGAATGATCATAGAGAACCACTCTATTCTAGAGGCAATATCTTTATTAATGTAGCCTCAGGACAAATGCTTTATTTTTGTGGCAGCTACAGAACAACATCATCTCA
Source organism: Homo sapiens (assembly GCF_000001405.40). Taxonomy (NCBI): domain Eukaryota; kingdom Metazoa; phylum Chordata; class Mammalia; order Primates; family Hominidae; genus Homo; species Homo sapiens. The sequence continues at coordinate 1,188,604 of NT_167245.2, read as the reverse complement.
CACTGACATCAGTGCCACCAGAGCTTTTCTCACCAGGGCTGCTTGTGTGTCCTCCCTCCCTCCCTCCCTCCCCCCACACTAACTCTCCTGCACACTGCAGCACACAACCATATTTTTCTCTTCAGGAAAGATAACCCTAGGCTTATGGGTCCAATTTTCCAACCACATATGAATCTAAACTAGACTCTGCTTTATAAATTGATGAGTTTCTATTGGAGCCAGCACTAGGATTACTACAACTCAGGGCAGGAAGAAGAGTAGGAGTGCAGAAGAGGAGTTCCAACAGAAAGTTACCTATGATGAGAAACTACGGGACCCTGCCTCTTGGCAAATTTCAGAATCTGGTTCCTTTAAAAAGATTGCAGAAAAGATGGAAAATACAATGAGGAAAGAGCCCTGGGAAGAGGGCAAGAGCTTGAAAGATCTGAAAATTTGTCTCTTGATACCACAAGGACCCTGGAATGCAGGGACTGCCGTAGGTGACATCCAAGTCCCTGTGATCACAGGTCATGGTGGGACAAGGTTCTACTGAAGGGCCAAGTGTGGGTGGAGGATTACTCAGGTGCAGAGGCAAGAGACTGAAGGCGCAAACTGTTTTAGTATAATAAAGAAAATAGTTAGAATAAGAATAGTCATAATACAAATTAGATATAGAGATGATCATGAAAAATTATCAATCATTATTATAAACATTATTAATCATTAGCTTTTAATATTACCCTTTGTTGCATTACTAAGATAACCTAGGAATAACCGGCGGGCATAGGGTCAGGTGCTGAAGGGACATTGTGAGAAGTGACCTAGAAGGCAAGAGATGAGCCTTCTGTCACGCCCGCATAAGGGCCGCTTGAGGGATCCTTGGTCAAGTGGCAATGCCAATGTCTGGGAAGGCACCTGTTACTTAGCAGACCATGAAAGGGAGTCTCCCTTTCTTGGAGGAGTCGGGGAACACTGCTCCACCAGCTTCTTGTAGAAGGCTGGATATTATCCAGAGCTACTCGCAGTCATCCAGAGGCCTAAACCCCTCCCTGTGGTGCTGTGCTTCAGTGGTCATGCTCCTTGTCCACTTTCATGCTCCTCCTGTACTCCTGGTTCCTCTTTGAATTTCATAGTAGAAAATGGTAGAAGAAATAGTGAAAGTCTTAAAGTCTTTGATCTTAAGTGCAGAAAAGAAAATGGTGACATATGCTACCTAAAAGGGAAGGGCCCCCTATCCTGTAATCACGTGACTTGCTTCACCTTGTCAATCAGTTAGAAGATTCACCTTCCTTACCCTGCCCCTTGTCTTGTATGCAATAAATATCAGCGAGCCCAGCTGTTCGGGGCCACTACCGGTCTCCGCATCTTGATGGTAGTGGTCCCCCGGGCCCAGCTGTTTTCTCTTTATCTCTTTGTCTTGTGCTTTTATTTATTACAATCTCTCATCTCCGCACACGGGGAGAAAACCCGCTAAGCCCCGTAGGGCTGGATCATACAGCCAAGGACAACGGAGCAGCAAAGATGACCCAGCTGAGCAGTGACCACATAAAGTGCACGGTGGCCTGAGCACCCACTGGGCACAGCCCCATCTACTCTCCTCTCATGCAACAAATCAGCATAAGAAACATGTGGACTCTGGAAGGTTCTCATGTCTTCCATTTATTTTGTCTCTCAAATTTTAGGAATCTTCTCCTTTAATTAACCCATCAACCTCTCATGGCAAGAATTTGAAAAAGTAAATTTATACTCAGATTCTAATTTTAATAGGGAAGTAAGAAGTTACAGCTCAGTGCACATAAAGTTGAGACAGAGATGGAGACATCTCAGCCTCACCTCTATGGAGCAGGAATGATTAATTATTGGAGAGGGAACACAGGTCAGCATGAGGGAAGAGGATCATGGTGGACATGGGGGTGGGTTGGTCTCCCCACCTCCTCATATTATGCCTACAGGAACACAGGCACATTCAGGTGCCTTTGCAGAAAGTGAGTCAGGGTTTTTGAAGTCACAAAGGGAAGGCGTGAACAAATCTTGCCTCTCAGTCCCACACAAGGCAGCTGTCTCACACTATAAAATAAAATATTCATGAACAAATTCATATCCGTCACAGTGAGGGATGACACTTTAAACAGCCCATCACATGTTCAATACATCCAATTCAAAGAAACCCCATAGCACAGCTGCATCCACTATTGCCCCCAACACCCCCCACACATCAGGTCCCCCAGCGTCTCACCTTTACAAGCCGTGAGAGACACATCAGAACCCTGCGCATGGTCGCTGCCTGGGGTAGAACAAAAACAGGACTTGGTCAGAGCCCAGAGGAGATGCGGCTAGAGGAGGAATCTGGGGTTGGGTGAGCTCCCCCATGGGCTCCCGACCACAATATCCCAAGGATCTCAGGGATCAGCCCACTTCATACTTACTTGCAGCTTCAGAGTAGCTCACTCTATCTGTGGGAAGAAAATGTCCTATGAGAGGCCAGAAAGGAGTCAGGGCCATACGGCCCTAAACAAACCCCCTAGCCTTTGATCCCAGAGAAGTTTCCTGAAAGTGTAACTGCTGATCCAGGACAGGATCAGGAAACATAAGGAAAGCAGGTGTGGGTCCTGGACCAACTGCCCTCCTGAGGTCTGTCCTCAGCAGGGACCTTCCCCTGTGACTTGTGACTGCTGGGATCAGGTCCCCATCATCATAATCATCAAGGTGATAAATCTGTCCTTCAGTGTCACAGGTGCTTTACAAAAGAGTAAGTGCTGGCACAGAGGGCCCAGGCTGGGTAGGCCCATGAGTGTGGATGGTGCTTCCCAGTAACCAGGCAGGACACACTTCTAACTGGGGCTTGAAACCCTCAGTGGGACAAGAAATCTCAGACCCCACTCCTCATCCATTCCTTACCTGAGTTCTTCTTCCTGCACATCACAGCAGAAACCACAGCTCCAGTGACTACAGCTCCAAGGAGAACCAGGCCAGTAACGATGCCCACGATGGGGATGGTGGGCTGAGAAGACTGCTCTGGGAAAAAAGGGGAAGGTGAGCGTCCCTGACCCTCAGCCCCCAGCACCGACCCTGCTGAAGTTCTCCAGAGAGGCTCCTGCTTTACCTAAGAGACATGACCCCCCCTCCACTAATCTCTTGCCTTACCCCATCTCAGGGTGAGGGGCTCGGGCAACCCCTCATGCTGCACATGGCACATGTATCTGTTCCTCTCCAGAAGGCACCACCACAGCTGCCCACTTCTGGAAGGTTCCATCCCCTGCAGGCCTGGTCTCTACAAGCTCCATGTCCCGAGTCTGGTCCTCTTCATCCTGCTGCCAGCTCAGTGTGATCTCCATAGGGTAGAAGCCCAGGGCCCAGCACCTCAGGGTGGCCTTATAGTCAGAGATGGAATGGTGGATCATATGTGTCTTGCGGGGGGGGTGTCTAACAGGAAGAGTCAGAAAATTCAGGCACTTTGCATCTCTCATGAGACACTCCAGCAGCACGCATGTGGCCATCCTGAGAATGGACAGGACACCTGGGGTGGGGAAGGGAGCACAGAACCCAGACACCAGCCTGGACACAGGTACCTGGGATAATCTCCTATCCGTGGAAAATTCTAGTCCCTGAGGAGGGAACAGTGACTTCTGGTCCTGACCTGAGTGCAGGCTGAGGGACTCAGAAGAGCTGGACTCAGACCCCCACACACATTGAGTGTAAAGCAGAGAACAAGGCCTGAGAGGAAAAGTAACGGGGCCCAAGGCTGCTGCTGGTGTCAAAGGGAACCCCTCATCAGTATTCCAGGGATTGTCTTCCCTTCATTTCCTCAGAGATTTCATCCCTTAATTGTATCAGAGAGCAGGGCAGACCCTCAGAGTCACTCTCTTGTACAGGATCTGGAAACCCAGGAGGATTCCTCTCCCTCAGGACCAGAGAGAGGACGACATTCTAGTGTTGGTCCCATTTTCCTTCTCTCTTTGTGGGAAGCCAGCCCAGGAGATCTACAGGCGATCAGGGAGACGTCTTGTGTTCCCTGGTACCCGTGAGCTGCAGCATCTCCTTCCCGTTCTCCAGGTGTCTGCGAGCCTCTCCACGCACGTGCCCTCCAGGTAGGCCCTGATCTGCTCTGCAAATTCTTCTGCCTCCCACTTGCGCTTGGTGATCTGAGCCGCCATGTCCGCCGCGGTCCAGGAGCGCAGGTCCTAGTTCCGGGCTATGTAATCCTTGCCATCGTTGGCGTGCTGTTCATACCCGCGGAGGAGGCGCCGTTCCAGCCCCGAGTCGCAGCCATACATTATCTGGAGGGTGTTAGACCCTGGCCCCGCCCCCGCTGTCAGCCCCGCCCACCGAGCCCCGCCCCCGCCCCGACCAACCCGCGGGGATTTTGGCCTAAACTGAAAATGAAACCTGGTAAAGGCGCCTGGGCCTCTCCCGGGTCGAGGATCTGGCGGGTCCCGCAGCCTCGGGGTGGGTCTCGGAGCCGGAGACTCGCGGGGGGGACCCGGGACGTCCGTGGGGGATGAGGAGGGGTCGTGACCTTCGCCCCAGGCCGGGGTCATTCACCGGCCTAGCTCTGGTGGTAGTAGCGGCGCGGCATGGGCAGGTTCACTCTTGTCAGTCTGTGCGCGGGCCTGATGTTCCGTGTGCTCCGGTCCCAATACTCCGGTCCCTCCTGCTCCAACCACGGCGCCTGCGGCTACATCCTCGGAGTCGCCGCGTCGCTGTCGAACCGCACGAACTGCGTGTCGTCCACGTAGCCCACTGCGATGTACCGGGGCTCCCCGCGACCCGGCCGGGACACGGCGGTGCTGAACTACCTTATGGAGTGGGAACCTGGGGGCGAGGAGGGGCTGAGACCCATCCGACCCTCCTCCTTGCGCTGCTCCCCGGGTCCTGCGCCCCAGTGCGCGGGCCCCTAGCTCCTCCCCGCAGAGGCCATTTCCCTCCGGATCCCGCACTCACCCGCCCAGGTCTCGGTCAGGGCCAGGGCCCCCAAGAGCAGCAGGAGGAGGGTTCGGGACGCCATAACCCCATCCTCGGCGTATGGGGAGAATCTGAGTCCCAGTGGGTTCGCGGGGACTTCTGGAACAGGGACCCCAGCGACGCCGATTGGCTTCGCTAGAAACCCGACACCAAATGGGGGTGAGAACTGAGTCCACATCCTGAGTGTCCAGGAAGAAGGACCCTACATAAGTTGGGAGAGGGAGAAGAGAAACTGCGGAGATGGGGAATCCCCAACCCTGGGCCTCCCCAATCAATACATCGCCTTCGGGGCCTGAAACCCTGAGAGCCACGCCTGGGGCCATAGGACTTCGCCCTGACCCCGCTCCTCCTGTGCCAAGCGCTCTGTCTCAATGTCTCCCTGAGTCTTGGCCCAAGAGCTGTCTGAGAAACCAGGGAGAAACCCTCGTCATGGGCCCCTTCCCTCTTCACTTTTCATCCCGGAATCCCCGTCCCAGAACTGGACTCCCTGCCTCCCACTCCTTACCTATTTCCCTGAACTCTTCTAGAAAAAAACTCACCCCAGGGAGCTTGGTGACAGAGAGGGAGCTCGCCGCCAGAGAGGCAGCTCGCCCTGGGAATGGAGGCGTAGAGACAGGTTTTTTTTTTTCTTTAAATCCGGAAAAGTTGTGCCTGAGTACATGAGATAGAATAGAGACAAGTTTCCTCTTTGTTTATTAACTACAGTGGGTAGCAGAATCTTGGCAACCCCTAAATGATCAGGAATCTAATCGGTAAAAAATGTAACTTTGGCCCCTTGATATATAAATGTGTCTGAAAGCATTACAACAGGACTCACAAAGCTACTAAGTTTGACTTTCGCAGACAATGTATCTGTGACTCCCGCTTGTTTTTTACATTTACCTTCATTCCACAGCCCTGAGTTACTGGGTGAGTCCAAGACATCTCCTCAATATAAAGTAGCACACTGTGTTACTATATGTTGCAACCGGGAGCCAGTACAGACTTTATTCACCTCACAGTTGCAAATGTTCAATGCAGTCACAATGCCCCTCAGCAGTGCTCATGCGCTGCCTGTTTTTAGGAAGTATTCACGTCTAAGTGGTGTGAATATCTTATAGGAACACTTAGTATTTTTAAAACCTGATTAATTAAAAAAAATTAGTTTCTAGGCAGTCCCAAATATAGTATTAAAGGCCAACTGCAAAGAAGGAACACTAAGTATTTTTTAAACCTTATTAACATAAAAAACATTAGTTTTTAGGCAGTCCTACATTAGGTATTAAAGGCCAACTGCAAAGAACACTGAGCGAGGCTCTGTAGATGGATGTAATAAAAATCTATAAAACAATGTGTTTAAACCTAAGAATTCTACTGCTTTCCAATTCCTTCCCTCTGCTCCTTTTCCTAACCTCCTGCTTCTCCAGCCCTTCCCTCTGTCCCTTTCATCCCTCAGGCCCTCCTCTCCCCTTAGTCCCCACCACCCTGTCACTTCTAAATTGTGGCTCTAGCATTGTCCCATTACCTGCTACGTGACTGTTCTCTCCACAGTGGCCCTGCTCCTGTGAGTCAGAGTGTGTCATTTCCTCACCTAAAACACTCCAGTGGCTCCACCTCGGTCTTGTGAAGCTTCTAGAATGTCAGGCACATGAGCATATGAGGGCATACCTGGTTCATCTTAGGCACTAAATTAATTTTTGTTGACTGAATGAATGAAATATGAAGGTATTAAATTGCATCACAGAAAGTTATAAAATGTAAAACACTGAAAAATTAAGAAATATTTTATTTTATGTAACTAGTGTGCATATCAATTCATTCCGAGTCTGTTGAGCCTGTGTATGAATTTTATAAGATTGCATAACAAATTATCACAAACATTGACTTTAAACAACACCCAATTATTGTTGATTTATTTGTTTTTAGAGACAGAGTCTCCCTCTGTCATCCAGGGTGAAGTGCAGTCACATGATCATGGCTCACTGCAGCCTCAAACTCCTGGGCTCAAGGGATCTTCCTGCCTCAGTCTTCAGAATAGATAGGACTGCAGACAAGTGCCACCACGCCCAGCAAATTAAAAAGAAATTGTAGAGATGAGTGTCTCACTGTTTGATCTTGGCTGGTCTCAAATTCCTGGATGCAAGTGATCCTCCTGTGTCAGCTTCTCAGATGTTAGGATTGCAGGTGTGCATTACCACGCCTGGCCAAACAACACCCATTTATCTGTTTATAGTACCTTAGTCAGAAATCTGGGCATGATGTGGATGGAATCTCTGTTCCGGGCTTCCCAAAGCTGTGTTTTCATTTTGAATCCTCCTTCAGGCTTATACAGAGGTGGCAGAATGCAGTTTCTTGCAGTTGTAAGACTGAGGTCCGCGTTCCTTGCTGGCTGTCAATGTAGAGAACAGGGAGGGCTGTGCTCAATTCCTGATGCCCACCAGCATTCTTCCCTGTACAGCCCCTTCATTTTCAAAGCCCACAGTGGAGGAAACCCCTCATGCTGAATCCCTCTCACACTGTGAATCTCTATGCTCAGGAAGAACCCAGTCCTTTCAAGGACTCACCTGATTAGGACAGTCCAAGCAGCATAAACCCAGCCTAAAGTCAACTAATTGAGGCCCTTAATTATATCTGCTAAATCCCTTCACAGTAGCACCTATATTAGAGTTGGTTGAATAATGGGGGGAAGGTGAATGACCAGGAGCTTGTTGTTGAGGCCATCATAGAATCAGCCTAGCAAGGGCTGGATCTTCTTTTTGTGTTCACTTGGGACATAGTTGCAAACTGAAGTTCAAGTAAAGTAATCATTGTGGACGGTAATAAAATACATCCTTTTCAGCCACGGAAATTCTCCTTACCTTTTAAAACTAAGTTACATATTTATATCTTTTAATTAATTTAGGCCAGATTTGGTGGCTCGCACCTGCAATCCTAGCATTGTGGAAGGCAGAGGAAGGCAGATTTGTTGACTCCAAAGTTCAAGATCAGGCTGGGCAACATGGTGAAACCCCCATCTCTACAAAATATTAGAAAATTAGCCAGGCATGGTGGTTCATGATTTTAGTCCCAGCTACTCAAGAGGCTGAGGTCAGAGGGTCCCTTGAGCCCAGGAGGTCGACACTGCAGTGCATGGTGATCATGCCACTGCACTCCAGCCTGGGTGACAGAGTGAGACCCTGTCTCAAAAATAATAATAATGATGATGATAAATTTAGAGCAAATGCAAATTAACATGTAATAATACATCCTCTCTTGTGAAAATGTATTAGTTATTTACTATTGCATAACAAATTATGTAAAATGTACCATTTCAAAACAACAAATATTGATCATCTCCCACAGTTTCCAATTGTCAGGAATCCAGGAGAAGTTTCCCTGAGTGCTTCTTGCTAAGGGCATCTCACAAGGTTGCAGTCCAGTTGTCAGTCTAGGCCTGCATCATCTGAGGGCTTCACTGCGGCTGAGGATTCACATGAAACATGGATCAGTCACATGGCTGTTGGAAAAGGCCTAGTTCATTGTAATTGAGTCCCAGAAGGCCTCAGTTCTTAGCCAGATGGACCTTCCTGCAGGGCTGCTCATGGCACAGCAGCTGACTTTCCCCAGAGCTCATGATCCCAGAGACAGAGAGAGAGAAGGTGGAAGCCGCAGTGAGTTTTAGGTTCTACACCCAGAGTCACAAGCTGTTATGTCGGCATTGTTCTATCAGTTAGAAGTTGTATTAGTCTGTTCTCACACTGCTATAAAGAAATACCTGAGACTGGGTAATTTATAAAGGAAAGAGGTTTAACTGACTCCCAGTTCTGCATGGCTGAGGAGGCCGCCCCAGGAAACTTACAATCATGGCAGAAGTGGAAGAAAACCCGTCCTTCTTCACATGGTGGCAGGAGAGAGAAATGCAGAGGGAAGCGGGGAAAAGCCCCTTATAAAACCATCAGATCTCATGAGAATTCACTCACTATCATTAGAACAGCATGATCCAATCACCTCCCATGAGGTTCCTCCTTCAATACTGGGGATTACAATTCGCATGACAATTGAAGATGAGATTTGGGTGGGAACACAGAACCAGGCCATATCAGAAGTGCATCATTAAGTCCAAGCCACACTCAAGAGAGGGAATTAAGCTGCACCTCTGGAAGGGAGCAGTATTAAAGGATTTGCATATATGTTAAAAGCAAAATTCAAACTATTATTTCAGGATTTTTAAGTTAAAGGCTTTTAATCTAATTATTTTTCCTTAACATTTTAATCTTGTCCTTTAATTTAATTTAGTTTAATTTTAAGTTCCAGGGTACATATGCAGGATGTGCAGGTTTGTTACACAGGTAAACGGGTTCCACGGCAGTTTGCTGCACCAATCAACCCATAACCTAGGTATTAACCCCTGCATGCATTAGCCATTTTTCCTAATGCTCCCCCCACCACCGCCCTCCCCCAACAGGCCCCAGTGTGTGTTGTTCCTCTCCCTGTGTCCATGTGTTCTCATTGCTCAGCTCACAATTATAAGTGAGAACATGCGGTGTTTGGTTTTCTGTTCCTGTGTTAGTTTGCTGAGGATAATGGCTTCCAGCTTCATCCATATCCCTGCAAAGGATTTGATCTCATTCCTTTTTATGGCTGCATAATATTCCATGGCACATATGTACCATATTTTCTTTATCTAGTCCCTCATTGGTGGGCATTTGGGTTGATTCCATGTCTTTGCTGTTGTGAATTGTGCTGCAATGAACAAACACATGCACATATCTTTATAGTAGAATGATTTATATTCCTTTGGGTATATACCCTGCAATGGGATTGCTGGGTCAAATGGTATTTCTGGTTCTAAATCTTTGAGGAATCACCACACTGCCTTCCTCATTGGTTGAACCAATTTACATTTCCACCAACAGTGTAAAAGCATTCCTATTTCTTTACAACCTCGCCAGAATCTGTTGTTTCTTAACTTTTTAATAATTGCCATTCTGACTGGCATGAGATGGTATCTTATTGTGGTTTTGATTTGCATTTCTCTAACGATCGGTGATATTGAGCTTTTTAAAATATGTTTTTTGGCCACCTGTATGTCTTCTTTTGAGAAGTGTCTGTTCATGTGCTTTGTCCACTTCTTAATGAAGTTGTTTTTTCATGTAAATTTGCTTAAGTTCTTTTTAGATTATGAATATTAGACCTTTGTCAGATCAATAGATTGCATAAATTTTCTCCCATTCTGTAGGTTGTCTCCTTTTCGCTCTGATGATAGTTTCTTTTCCTGTGCAGAAGCTCTTTTGTTTAATTAGATCCCATTTGTCAATTTTTGCTTCTGTGGCAGTTGCTTTTGGCAATTTCATCATAAAATCTTTGCCCATGCCTATGTCCTGAATGGTATTGCCTAGATTTTCTTTCAGGGTTTTTCTAGTTTTGGGTTTTACATTTAAGTCTTTAATCCATCTTGAGTTAATTTTTGTGTAAGGTGTAAAGAAGGGGTCCAGTTTCAATTTTCTGCATATGGCTAGCCAGTTTTCCCAGCACCATTTATTAAATAGCGTTTCCTTTCCCCATTGCTTGTTTTTGTCAGGTTTGTTGAAGATCACATGGTTGTAGATGTGAGGTCTTATTTCTGAGTTTTCTATTCTGTTCTGTTGGTCTATATGCTTGTTTTTCTACCAGTACCATGCTGTTTTGGTTACTTTAGCCTTATAGTATAGTTTTAAGTAGGATAGCCTGATGCCTCCAGCTTTATTCTTTTTGCTTAGCATTCTCCTGGCTACACAACCTCTTTTTTGGATCCATATGAATTTTCAAATTTTTTTTTCTAATTCTGTGATAAGCTTCTCTTTTTAAATTAATGATTAAATGTTTGAGACATGACAGAGCCTTGGGTGCTGCAGGGAAAACAGTTTGAGACAGAGAAAGGAGAAACAACAGTATCTCTGCGTTTCTCTTGTAAATACCTTTAATAACAATGTTCTTCAATAAGTTAACACAGTTGAGAACATAGAGTAACTAGATCAAATAGTTCCAAGACTTCAGTGCCATAAGAATGATGCCTTGAAAATAAGTCTTTGTTTTGTCTAAGATGTCTCAAATTTAGTGGAAGTATGCCCCAAGTGCCAATTTTCTTATTGACATATCATCTTCAGAAAACATTTGCCTACACTTAAAAAAAAAATACACACACACTGCTCTGTCTATGGAGTAGCCATTCTTTTGTTTCTTTACTTCTCTAATAAACTTGCTTTCACTTAGAAAAAATTGCATAATCAGATTGCTTCTCATTTACAAAAATGGGAATCTCATACTTCAGTCAACACATCTAGCTTAGCATAATGCCAGTAACTTTGGTTTGATGCAGTAGCCCAAAATGCTTAACTCGAATTGAGAATCAAATTTTTTCCAAAAACGGCTCAGGGGCATTCTATTGTAAACTTAACATTTTTGGGTGTGGTATTGCATGAGATGTGGTAGAAGTGATTTGGACACTACTACAGTTCTAAATAGCACTGCTATTATGTGCTTCTGAAGCTTTCTTTTTCTTTTTTTTTTAGCTGTCTTATTTTGCTTTCCATTCATATTTGCTATTCCATCACTGGTTGTTCCTTTCTACTCTTTTCTTGTTTCATTTATTTTGATCAGTGATGTGTATTTCCAATTCTGTGAAAGTTTAATTCAGTTGTATGTGTGGTAAAATGTAACACCAAATCCTTTGCAAGAAGGAATTACCTTGCACATCAGATTGAACATTGTATACTTGAAAATCCAGAGAGATGCCAGTGAGCTAAGGATCAAATGACCTATTATTAACCAAGGCCATTTTCATCACATCCTGGTCCTCTCTGTCACATGGCTGCTTACATTTCTCTGTGGTTTTCTTTCAATGTAAGTAGTTCTTGTTAAGGATCCTTGCAATGAACTTTGGTATTCTTTTCTCTTTCATTTTTATAAATACCAGGTATATTTTAATTTGAAAACTCTGTTTAACAAATTACAATCATGTAACTAAAAAGATGCCCAGCACTGGTGTAAAACACAAACCTGTAAAGCTTCCCTGGGCTGCTGCCCAGTCACATCCCCCAGAGACAGACTCCATCCTGAGTCTTGTGATCCTTATTCCTTTGTATTTCTTTAAAGATTTGCACAATAAGTATATATATATATGTACATATATATATCTGAAAAAAAATTATTTACTTTTGCTGGTTTTTAAGCTTCCTGTACAGCAAATTCCTACTGCATTTATTTTCCCATGATGCACATTACGTACAGGAGTTATCTGTGGTGTGGGAGGCTGTCATTCATTCATTTTCACTGCTGAAGGTTTACATTTTATGCCACAATTTCCTATTGATGTATATTTCCTATTGATGTATATGTGGCTGATTCCAGTTTTTGCCATAAACATCAGTGTGCCTGTCTCCTGGGCACATAGGCAAGAAAGCCCGCTAGAGTGTATGGTTAGGAGTGGGAGGGTTGGACGATATGTTGTATGGACTTTAACCATATAGATAATGATAATATGATTTCCAAGGTGATTGTGTCAACTTAAACTCATGTGTTCTGAAAACACCTAGTCGAAGGAATTGAGTTAAAAGCCACTGTCTTGGCTGCAGAATTATAGCAGGCATTTTTATTCAGACTCTGTTAATAACTTCCTGTTGTTTACTTGTTTCTCATATACCATGGTATTATACTTTTGACATATAGATTCAGAAAATGCTTACTGATAACACAATCACGTAGGGGTTATTTAATATGTTAGGAAAATTTCATAATAAAAAGGAAAAAATGGAGGAAGGGAGAGAAAGAAGGAGGAATTGAGGAAGGAGTGAAAGAAGAAAAGAAGGAAGGGGAAGGGGAAGAAAAAGGACGGAAAGGAGGAAGGGAGAAGGAGGGCGAGAGATTGAATGGAATTAAAGAGGGAAGGAGGGACAGAAGGAAAGAGAAAAAGAAGGAACAAAGGAGAAAAGAAACTAAAATAAAGAAAAGAATAGGCGTTGGGAACTGGAAACCCTCTGTATGGCTAATATTATCAAAATAGGAGGAAATAAAATAGACGTAGTTAACCTCTATCGAATAACGGAAATGTAAGAAGGCTTCATTAGTTATCTGTTGCTGTGTAAAACACTACCCCCAAATTTAGTGACTTACAGCAACAAACATTGGTGAACTCAAAAACATAATACAAATACCAGCAAAATGGAGCCAATGCAGGTAGAAGAAGTTGAATAAACAAAAAGATTTTACACGTTGGAATAAGTAAGAGGTCACTGGTGTGCAGACGAAAATGATTTTGTAGTCCAAATGCTCCAAAAAGCAAGTGCCATCATAGGATTAAAGTTACAGCATTTTATTAGGGGACACACCTGTCAGACGATATGGTGAGGGAGGTAGGTTACCCTGGGAAAGGCAATAGAATAAGATGCAAGTGTGACCCCCAGTGATGGAAAGAAGGAAGGAAGGATTACTTAACATGTCCTAGACCACAGGCAATCTAAGGAGAGTTGAGCAAGGCTATGGAGGAGTCCTCCAGCCACAGCTGGCCATCAGAGGAGTCCCCTGTCTTCCAGGAATGTCCTGCCTTAGTGTCACTGGTGTGACCCATCACTGGTTGGGAATAGTCCATGGGAAGCAGGGCCTCAGCACCAATGCCACTGAGGATGTCAGAGCACAGGAGCACGGCCTTGGAGGATTACCCAGGAGTGTGACTCAAACCTTCTGCCCTGATGGGTCTGGGCCCTTGGAAATCAAATCCTCTCAGGCTGAATTGCTGGATAATTCTACTCTCACTTGCAATGGGGTGAGGGAAAACAGAAGGCCCCCAGGTGGATCTCTGGTTTCCACACTTCTGCCTTTATTGTGTGAAAGTAGCCATGCCTCCTCCTGGGGATGAGGATCTATTACCTGGGCCTGGAGAGGAGGAGACTCCTCTTCTCACCAGGTGGTCTCTGGGCATATACTGTCCACACTTCTCTGGTGACAAACTTAATGTGTAGTTCAGTGGGCTGTCTTTTGTCTGCTTTTAAGGGTACCCTCCTTTGCAAACCAGGACCTCGTACCCTGCACAGCCCAGTGTTCTGAGATAAAACATGTCAAATACCCCATTAGGTGAATCTAAGAGATTAGACATGGAGCCATACCTGCTTCCACCGTTTGATTTCTGGACCCACATGTTCTTCCTCTTGCGAACACAGAACTGTAGAGACGACTCTGATTTAAACAACGCACCATGTCCTGAAAGATGGCACGCAACCCTCAGAGTGCTTCCTCCAGGCTGGCACTTAGTTGTGCCTGTGGAAGATCACGGGACTCCAAGCAACTATGTGGTTCCAAGTGCCTGTGTGACCCAGAAAGTCATAGATTGCACAGGCCAAACAGCATTCATCATGAGGTGAAAATGATCCACCTGGGTTGAGCTTGAATCCCATGTTGACACCCACAGAAAACAGCCAAGTCTGAAGTGTCATTAAACAATGAAACAGACCAATGGAAGCTAGCCAGCCTTCACTATGGGTCAGCCCATGCATGATAGGATGGGCACATGAATGGAACAACCACAGTGGCAGGTGTGAGGCTACATATGGGGCATTCCTTGTGGCTGGCAGCCCCTGGGGAGAGTAGCTGGTGATAGGGTTAGTGGAAGCAACAGCCATGGAAACACTGAATCTTTCCCTTGCCAAGTGGATCCTTCAGGCAGATAATGGGCTAGGAGCACTGCCTAGCCTGCAGACCAGGAATGTCAACAGCACCCAGAGAGTGGTACTGGCTGTGTCTGAGAGCAGGACAGAAAACCCCCCCTAGAATAGGTACCTAACCCTGTGAAGATGAACCTCTGGTCCTTCCAGGATGGAAGTAGGTAAATGTAGTCAACTTCTTAGTTAATGACTAGTCACCTAAAGAAATAGTGCCCCACTAGGGCACATCATGGGCCTAAAATGCTGATGAGTTGGACATTCAGAGGTGGCAGCAGCTGGATCTGCCTTGGTAGGGGGAAGTCAGTGCTGCTGGCACTCATGCCTGCCACTGTGGTTGCTCCATTCATGCACCCATCCTACCAGGCCTGGGCTGACCCATGGTGAAGGCTGGCTAACTGCCATTTGTCTGTTTGGTTGTTCAGTGCCACATCAGACTTGGGTGTTTTCTGTGGGTGTAAACGTGGGATTCAA
Source organism: Homo sapiens (assembly GCF_000001405.40). Classification (NCBI taxonomy): domain Eukaryota; kingdom Metazoa; phylum Chordata; class Mammalia; order Primates; family Hominidae; genus Homo; species Homo sapiens. Next base: position 1,173,539 of record NT_167245.2, on the reverse strand, counting down.
GCTCAATCCAGGTGGACCATTTTCACTTCATGATGAATGCTGTTGGGCCTGTGCAATTTATGATGTTGTGGGTCACAAAGGCACTTGGAACCACATAGTTGCCTGGTGTCCTGTGGTCAAGCTTTCTATCAAATCAGTACAAGGAACACTAAAAGTTGCTTCTAACAGGGGGCATATGTCTCTGCTGTGGATGACATGATCTTACTCCAGAATCCCAGGCCCTTCACTGTGACTCTCCCACTGGTGCTTGGTTCTGCTCCATCCTGCATCTTTCCCCACCACTGGCACCACCAGCCCCAGGGGGTCTGAGGGACGCTGGCTGCTTGCACCATGGCCTGGATCTGCTGCAGGGTCCTTTCCTGTGTAGGCCCTACTTGAAGCTGGCCTCCTCCTATGTCACCTAGAGTGTTTGCCAAAGCACGTACCTAGATGTGGAATGTGGTGTTGTCAGAACTCAAAGAGGCTCATCAGGCAGTGTGCTTCCTTCCTTCTGGTGAGGATGCAAGATGAAACAGTTTGTCTTTTACCTTGGGGGGAACACACCTGCATTCCCCTAAACACTTGGCACTTGTTAACCCATAAAACTTCACTTCAGTGGCCACTCTTGAAGCTCTGTAAGGTTTATCTTCACATACTGGAGTGCGTGTGTTTTGCCAATGACTCCAGTGCACTTTCTACCTGCTGCTCATTCACCGCAGTCAACATGAAGTTGTCAGTGAAATGAGCTGATTTAATATCCTATAGAATATCCAGTATGTCTAGTATTGTCTTTAGACCATACTATATAGGGCAGGGGAGTTACAATAGCCCTGAGAAAAAACTATAAATAAATGTGTTGTGGATCCCACATGGATGTGAATCGCTCCATATCCCCTTTCTAATTGGAGTGGAAAGAAATGCACTCACCAAATCCATAGCTGCACGCTGTGTGCCCGAGGCTTTATTATTCTGCTCTGCAGTTATATCCAGACAACATAAAAGCTGCAATTATAATTCCTGCTTGGCCAGGCCTGGAGTAATCTCATTCATTCTTTAGTCCTCATCAGGCTTCCTCAGGGACAGGTTGCTGGATTATGTAGAGACAATAGACAACCCCAACACCATCCCACATCCTTCAGCTCTCTAATGGTGGTGTGACCCCCACATTACTTTCAGTGTCTTCCTCAAGACACACCCTGGGACACACTATGATTTTTTTTTTTTTTTTTTTTGCCAGGATGTGGGCAGCGTCAGAGGTTTCCCTTTGGCTTTCAGCACAATGAGAGTCCTGACTCCACAGACTAGGGACCCAGTGTGGGGGTGACTCCACTTAACAGTGCATCAGTGTTAATTATGCACTCAGGGAATTGGAAGATAACCAGGGCTGGGTCTATGGATCCAGTAGTTCCATTGTGGGCCGTAATGTGTCCAGGTTTACTCCCTGACCTCCGTAAGCCCCACTGTGATGGGAGACATGATAGTGCTGTGGGCATCTGGGCATCAATGTCAGCTCTCACTCAGTGTCAATAATCTGACCAGTTCTGCATCTTTCCTTTCGCCAGTGTACAATCTCCTGAGTAAATGGCTATAGGTTCCTTTGCTGAAGGACTGAGGGAATTGTGCCAGCATTTACTTCCACGGAGTTGCAGGGTATTCCTCCTAGGGATATGGACTCCTCCTCTGTCACTGGGATCTGAATCTGAACTTTGGCTGAGGTCTAGGCATTGAGGATGGGATCATGACTTTGTATTGGGTCAAACACCTTCACCCTCCTGCTTCTCAATTCTTGCTTTCTTATCATAGATATCAAGCAGCGCCCTTGTTGGCTTCCTGTCCTAATCCTGGGACACCACCCTCTACTATCCTTCCCCACATTCCCTGCAGCTTGAGTCCTATTGGCTACTCCTTTTAGTTTGCCATAGTAACTCTGCCCTCTGGCTTTTTCAGGTCACTGCCACCATTTGGTCTTTGTCTCTTCAGGGCCACACTCTCCCCAGGGATATTAATAAATGCAACTCTGGGTCATCTTTACTACCATCACATCCAGCCTGCAGAGGACAACACCCCGACATTTCTTAATGATGCAGGTCCCTCTCACCATCACGTTTCTGAGGCTCTGGTGGAAGGTGTTTCCTTTGGACCGTCTTGTGGAGCATGGTACTGGTGGGCCTTCACCATGCCCACTTCCCTCAGCCTTGTTATTCCATCCTGTGCAAGTTCCAGGGCAACTAAGTCACGTCTACCTTGTTGAGAGTTAGGCATCATTTTTTCTAGTCTATATGGATTCACCCCAGCGGTGGGTTTGGCCCCCCCCTTATCAAAGTCCTGGGGTGTTTGATAAACCCATGCCTTGAGAAAGTGCCTCCAAGCCAAAGGATTTTTATTCTTCCAGCTTGAAATTCTGGTTCCTTGATCAAACACCCTCAAATTCCAATCCCAGAAGTGCTCCTCGGCCTCCTATGGGGACGTGCCAGCTAGTTCCTGCAAAGCTCTTCAGTGGGATTCCTGCTGTATCATGGGGGTGAGACTTCTGTAGCATCTTCCAGCATAGGAAGTGGGAACCATTACTAGAGAAGGGTGAGCCTCCTATGCATGCCCAGAGGATCCTGGAGGGCACCCATCGGATAACCCTGTTCCTGTTTGCAGAATCTCAGGTTTCCCCACCAGGGTCCTGACTTTCCTGTAACAGGCCTGCCTTGGCTGAGTGGCAAACCTCTCTGGAGCACTGTGGCCCTCATAGTGATGTCTTCAGCTACCATTCCACGGTATCTGCCCTTTCGCTACAAGAGATAAAGACCTGTGCATGAGACACTGCAGAGGCTGTCACATGTAGCCAGTGACAGCTGTTAACAATCTGCAGATTCTCATGATACTTTCACAGGGCATCATTGCAGCTGAGCAGTAACCAGCCAACTCCACTGTCTTTGTAGGTTTCCCCCTAACCCCGTCATTATTGTGCAGGGCATTCTATCACCCCACCTGCCATAGCTTCCCCTAACCAGGGCATCCTCTCAGCTCAGCACTGGTGAGACCCATAGCAGCTCGGCTGCATCTTGTGCTATGGAATTTCTGTGTCTCCCACAACCCTGGTGGCATCCTCTTGGCCTGCCAGGCAGTGGGCAAGCTTTTTTCAAATTCTCATTTTTGCCTGTTTTCATGGATCACCCTTCATACTACTTGTGTTAGTTAGGGTCCCCTGAGGAGCGGACCCCAATACAGTATTCAATGTGCAAGGATTTATTAGAGGAAATAGTTATGAGAGAAATTCAGGACACAGACGGAAAATGCTGGGAATGTCATCAGACCACAAAGCAACTCTGAGCCCCAGTGAGGTAAACAGTGCAGGAAGGTCAGCTGGAAGCATCCTAGACCCTGTGCAGGCTAACAGAAGTTCAGTAAGCGTGGCAGGAAGCCCTAGAGCTTCAGTCAGCCTTCAGAGAAGAAATGTTCCTGCCTTAGTTTCTGCCCTGCTTTCCTCAGTCATTGGCAGGAAAAGACAGGGGGCAGGTGTGGTCTCAGAGCAAATGTGGCAATAGGTTTCAGGATTCAAAAGTTGAGGCCACTATCAATTCTGCTTACTCTAGCTGAGGGGCTGGGATGTGCATTCTCATGACTGCCACAATGATCCAGTGGGGAGAGAGGAAAAAGGTTGATGATAAAGAGAAAAAAAGGTATTAATTGATGAACTGACACCTTTAAGTAGATGATAAGGGATGACATTTTGGGCACCAGAAGAGGGACTGGCTCTGATGGGAGCAGAATGGTTTACCCACAACAGTCCCCAACATGGTAAAACACCTGACATGTGTTGCAGCTGCAAATGCATGAGCAGATGGTGATGGAATCTGTCTTCTAATGTGTTCAGTTTTCTCAGTGAGGTAGGAACCAAGGTTGTCAGCTGAGATAAGAATGGGGAAGGAGGGTTGGATGTGTGAGCACAGAGAGAAGGTGTGTAAGGGTCACCCAGGCCAGGAGGAGGCTGAGGGTGAGCCATGCAGGGAGAGGGTGATTGCTGGCCCTGGTGGGGGCTCCCCATGTGGTTTGGGTCATGAAGTTAGAGAAGACACCAACGATGAGGGACAGTGAGTAGATGGTGGAATCACTGGATTGGTATTCCCAGGGTGGGGGTCGAAGGATTGTTGGAATTGATGTGCTAAAGGGTGGACTTCAAGCCTGGAATGCAGGCACATATGCAATGAGTAGTCACTGATATTACCTCACAGCATATGATAAAATGATAGAGTCTGTGTCCTCAGAGCCTGTGGCCACCTTGCATGGGATGAGTGGAAAGATGGCCAGAGAGTGGGAAGTGTGAAATTGAGAGTATGGAAGGGCTGGGGTTCTTGGGCATGATGAGGCCTAGGGGATGACAGGGGCATGAGATTCAGGCAGAGAGAGGAGAAGGTCATGGAGGAGAGGAGTTCCAGGATCTGAGAGTCCAGGGAGCAAGGGCATCTTCTCTGCTGTATAGGTGTCTATTGCTGCCATAAGAATTACCACAAACCAAGTGGCTTTAAACAGCACCTAATTATCATGTTACAGTCCTGTAGGTTGCAAGTCCACACAGTCTTATGGGGCTAAGATCAAGGTATGGGCAGGTCTGTGTTCCCTCCTGGAGACTCTGGGGAAGAATCCATTTCCAAGCTCATTCAGGTTCTTGTCTGAATTCACTTCCTTGCACATAGAACAGAGGTTTCCACTTCCTTGTTAAGAGCCATGCTTAGCTCCTAGAATCTTCTTTCAGCTACTCACACATGGTGCCTAAGGCACATCCAATCCTCCTGCTTGGAACGTCTGACCTCCCCTCTTCTATGTCTCCTCTGCCTTCCTCCTCTGCAGAATCTGACTCCAGCCAGGGCAGGTTCTCTGCTTTTAGTGGCTCATTTGATTTGAATGGGGCCACACAGATTGTCCAGGAGAATCTCCCTATTTTAAGGTCCTTAATCGTCATTACATGAGTAAAGTCCCTTTTGCCATGTAATGCAACCTGTTCACAGGTTCCAAGGACTAAGACTGGACCTCTTTCGGGACCATTACTCAGCCCACCACATGTTGAAGTCACCAACAGTCAAGGAGACTGCTGGAGAGGGTGACAGTGAACCAAGAGCTACAAGAGTCAGGATTGAGAGGAAAGGCCAGGGGCCCACAGGGAATGGCTACAATGAGGGGAATGGGGGTCTAATCTGATGACAGCCTAGGGGTTTTAGGGAGGAGGGAGGCAGAAAGTTCTGAGAACCACAGTGAGGAGCAAGGTCCCCACCTCACCTCTGAACCCAGGGGTACAAGTCCATGGGGGAAACTCCCCTATGTGGGAGGACTTCAGAGGGGGTCATGTCCTCAGGGAGACCAGGTTGCTGCTGGAGCTGGGAGGTGCAGGAACATCCTGAGAGAGGGTGTGGAGGTTTTGTTGATCATTGACTGAGATTCCAGGGGGTGCACTGGGAAGATTTCTGTGGTTTGGGAGGTTGGGGAGACAGAATAGTGGTGTGCAGAGCCTTGTGGGGATGTGAGTGCAGAGTATGTGGGGGACCCAGTGTCACTGACACAAACAGGGAAAGGATATGATGAGCTGAGTCCTGGTGGACTTAGCGCAGACAATGGTGCTGAGGCTGTGGGAGATGAGGGAGGAGGAGCAGGGGTGGCTTCACCTGGGCTCTGTCCGTGGAGGTGAGGACAATGAGGTGGTTGGGTCTCAGTGCTGTGTGGAACTTTCTTTTGACCTCCTTATGAGTGGATGGTCTGTCTGAGATAGAACGGGTCTTAGAGGATTTACTCATTACCCTGAGAGAGGGGGCGTGTTCATTCCAGGTTTCAGGTCTGCCCTGACACCTTTCTTGGTGGCTTAGACCTCCCTACTGTAAATTATTGGGTGTTAGTCCATTTTGGAGTTCATAACTTAAAGCAGAAACTCAGAGGGTTGAAATGTCATTTTCATGAAGGATTTTTATTAGAGTATCATTTAGATTGCCTTTGCAACCTCCCATGTGTTTTGTTTTTTTTCTAAAGGGCTGCTAATCTTGTTTTAAATTTGCAATGTAGTTAATTTATCTTCACTGTTAATTAGTTGTGGGTTGTTTAACCTTATACCATATAGTTTTACATATCTATAACAACAGTAGTTTGGGCCTCTTGTATTCTAATAGTTAAGTCCTTAAGCTGTGTACACACTGCAATTCAAGTATGAGTCATGCATAACCGTAGCACTAAGAGACAAGAGGGAAATCCCTCTCTCCTAAAATTTTGCAAAAGTTCTGGGTTTTTTTTTCCACTGAGTGGGAACTAGTCAGCTAATCATGAACATGAGGTCTTTGGCCTCATTTAAAGGTGCTTCAGAAGCACTGAGCCATAGGAAGGCCTCTTTGTCTAGGTCCGGGACCCTACACCATGGCAGAAGCCATCTTCCCTCCCAGTGTGCAGTGATGTCCCAGATAGCGAATTGGTTAGCCACTTTTCAGTCTCGGGCAGTTTTGTTTTCCAAAACATGGGTTTTTATCTCAGGACCTTCTTGTCCCCAGATGATCAAAACCGGGGCCATCCACTCCCTTCTGAGCCACCTCTGCCTGGGGGGCCTGTGGCTGTGTCCTCCAGTCACAACAGAACACTCCTTCAGAACACTCGCAGGAAGACAACATCTTGTCATTGGCTCACACATGCACGGTGCATGCACAGAGCTTTGGTTCTAGTTCAGGAGGTGTGTGGGGAGGAGGCTCACTAGTCCAACAGAGCTTGGTACCAGTGTCATATGCCAGGAGCCAAGGTTACAAGGATGCAAAGTTCCCAGACCTACCAGAGAAGGCAAACCCCTGCAGCATGCAGGGCTAGACAGGGGCAAGAAACAAGGTCATTCCGGGCCAGCAGGAAGAGGGAAAGGGAAACTACAGACGTACCTCAGAGACACTGCAGATTTGGTTTCAGACCATGGCAACAAACAAGTCACACAAATTTTTGTTTTTCCAGTGCATAGAAAAGTTATATTCACACTCTACTGTAGCCTATTAAGTGTATGATAGCATTATGTATAAAAGAACTATGTATATACCTTAATTTAAAATTACTCTATTGCTCAAAAATGCTAAGGATCATCTGAGGCTTCAGCTAATCTTAATCTTTTTGCTGGGGCAGGGTCTTGCCTCAATGTTGATGACTGCTGGCTGATCAGGAGGGTGGTTGCTAAAGGCTCTTATGGCAACTTCTTAAAATAAGACAATGAAGTTTGCGGCATGGATTATAAAGGGGGAATCAGTACTTAAGTAAGGTCAATATAAGTTTTCAAGTTAGGTGGACCTGAATATGAACCCTCCAGGCCTTTCCACCAGCTAGCTATAGAGCCTTGGACACATCTTGGCCATAGCTGGCCCTGACAGACACTTGCCCAGTGGGTGAGTGCTCAGTGAACCCCTCTGAGCCAGTTGCCTCACCCAACCAGTGATATAATTCCTTCCTTGCAGAAGAATAAGTGAAAAAAGGCACAGTGCCAAGAGAATCAGACACAAGACCTGCGGAAGGCTGTGCCAGTGCTCTAAAGCAAGTTCTGCCTAAAGCGGCAGAAACATTTTTCACATTAGGAACAGGAGTTGTTTGGGATCCTGTCTGGGGCCAGCTTGAGAGCAGAGCGGGAGTGGGGGCCTGGGTAGGGCCAGGCACTGGAGTGAAGACAGGCCTGGAGAGAGCCTCCTGAAGGCTGCTGAGCGGCTCAGACAGCTCCTTGCCTCACCTGCCACAGTCCTCCCACTCCCCTGGCTCTCTCGGTGCTGTTTTCTTCACCTCCTCCTGCCCTCCTGGTCCCTGGCACCCCAGGGCTCATAAACATGCTGCTCCCAAAACTCCAAGGCAAGTATGGAAGGGCAGAACAGCTTCTGGGACAGTGGGAAGATGAGGCCACCCGCTATGTGGCTCCAAGTGCTCGGGTGGAGGAGATGAAGGGATCAGTACAGTAGTCGGGGGAAATTCTCTCAATCCCACCCTGCATTACCCTCACCTCTGCAGCTTTTTGCCTATTTCCAACTCTCAGCTCCTTCCACCCCCACCCCAGCCCAGCCCTCAGGGCTCCCTCTCTCCAGCCCTCCCTCTGCCCAGAGCAGCACAGTCCAGAGTCCTTGAACAGGAATTCCCCCTCATCTAACAGTTAATCATTTATTAGTGGGGACAGACACCTGGTTGTCTCTTTCCGGTGACCCCATATCCTCATTCAAGGCATCCAGATATAGCCCCTGAGCCAGGGATCTGTATCTGCCCTCCAGAGGCCTATGCCCAAGACAGGTTGCTCCCTGGGATTCTCACTACAGGTGGACTTAAGCTAATGGGCTGGAAAAAGAGAAAACGAGGTCGAATTCCTCACTTACCATGAGATCTTGCAACACAGGTTCCAAGGGCCTCAACCCCTCTACCCTGGCTGATGCTCCCTCCTCCACTCCCTCTGACCAGGGCCCTGAGCCCCCCACACAGCTGAGCTGGCCCAAGCTGAGGAGTTGCTTGCACAGCAGCTGGAGCTGGACCAGGCCCTCCTGGAAGGGAAGGAGTCGGTGGGGGCCCAGGCCCTGGTGCTCAAGATCCAAAAGCTAAAGAAACAGATGAGGAGGCACTGAGAGAGCCTGGGAGGAGAGAGCCTGGGAGGGGACACCCAAGCTTCCCAGCAGTGCCCACAGCACCCTCCATGCCTGGAACTAATGTGCACCACCCCCAGGAGCCCCAGGATCAGAAACACCCCAGCATCTCCCAGGCCAGAGAAAGCAGAAGAGACCCCACAAAGGGCTGGCAATTGGCAGGTAGTGGGGGAGCCAGGGCTCTGCAGTCTTAGTCCCATCCCTCTTTGACCTCACAGCAGGGCACCAAGGCCTTACAGGAATTTACCCTGGGCCATGCCCTAAAATAACCTCACCCCAAATAAAATAAAGGGAGAGAGCACCCACACATAATGCAGATGCACTTGTGTTTCATTTTTAGTTATGTTAAAAATTCTGACAATCAGGAATGGGGGTTCAGGAGTGGTGCTGAGGCAGAGGACAGAAGCCAGGGGGTGGGGGAAGAGGATGTCAGGGGTGGGGTCAGTAGAGTCTCCTTCACCCCCAACCTGCAGTCTCCTCCTGAAGCGTGGTCACATGCCAGAATGGGCTAGTCCCCTACTGTGTCTGTTCAACTAAGGGGAAAATGTGGCATGGTGAGAATAAGGAATGAAAAGGAAAAAGTGAGGCAGGAGCACACGGCACACATGCAGATGCTGGTGTACTGTGTGGGTTCAGAGGACAGACTTGGGAGTGGGGGAAGAGATGTAATATGATGAAAGAAAACAGATACCCCACATAACGGTCAGAAAAACATCCCAACACGGCATCAAAGACCAGGGTGCATGAAGCAGCCAAGTGTCCATTATGCATCAGGTGCCCATGACAGGATTGAAGACAAACATATTAAGGAACTAGGAAGAACTAAAGGGCTTCATGACATCAGCACTCACTGTGGAGGAGATGTCTGTCTCATCAGGCAGCTCACTATCACTGACCTCAAAGCGATGCTGCCCATACTGAGGATCCTGGCATTATTGTCACCTGACACAAATGTGATGGTCAAGCCCTGTGCCACCTGGAAGGGGATAGAGGGTAGGATAGGACTAGAAGACCCAAAGAGGGAAGACTCTCAGAGGGAAGGATGAGGATATAAAGTGTGAAAAGATACAGAAAGTAAGGAGGTGGGAGAGTGGGTGTCCCTCTGGGTGTGGGGCTTAACTGCTGCAGGTAGGTCTCAGAATCCTCATGCATGTCATAGGTAAAGGCAATGCTCATCTGCTCCATGTCCATGGCTCAGCCAAATAAGTTGGTAGTCAACAAATTGATCTTATCTTTTGGGGTCATTCTCCAGCAAGTGCAGAACAGTAAAAAAATTTAGTCACCTGAGGTGCATATCTTGGCTTCCTGGCCAGTTTTCCCAAGGCCTCCACTGCCACCCTGCACCCTGGGTGCCCTCCACACTCTCCAAGTGTCCAGATGTGTGTGAGGAGTTAAGGGCAGGAAGAACTATTGGATCGTGGATTTAGGTGCCTTTTTCCACCTCTGCAGGTGGCAAGGTGTGGATTCATAAGCTGGCATTGAAGCGAGTTCTGTCCTTTGTGAATAGTTGTTTGGTCACCCACAGTCATAGCTGAGCCCTGAGAATAAGAGAAACTTGTCTAGAAAAAGAAATTGTGTTGACTCTTAAATAGACATTTCTGGTCTGCGTTTTATTTCAAGTGTCTGGGAAGAGATAGAGTGTGAGGTTCAGGAGAGAAGGAGAGGTCTGTCTTGATGCTTTGACACAGCACCAAGAAATTTCCCCTCCTCCCCCACATCGCCCCGCCAGTTCTCAGTGAGGGACAGATTCACAGCAGTACTGAAAGGGCTGGGAAGAGATGGGGAGACATCTGGGGCCAATGTTCAGGGGTTGACCCTGTGGGAGGACACCTGCCTTCAGAGTTAGAGCCCACATGTGATGATGTAGAGCTGAAGGGTGATATCAGGGAGGTGATGGAGAGTGCTTTGGGGTTTCCTGATTATGAAGAGCAGAGGTCAGTCTGCTTCCTGGGTGAAGTGACTGCTGGGGAGATTGGATTGAATTAATGAAGAATAAATAAACGGGGAATGAGGATAAGCAAGCATCAGCATCTCCCACCATCAGTTCAGACTGAGGGGAGTTTGGATTGAATTAATGAAGAATAAATAAACAGGGAATGAGTATAAGCAAGCATCAGCATCTCCCGCCATCAGTTCAGACTGAGGGGAGTTTGGACTGAATTAACGAAGAATAAATAAACGGGGAATGAGGATAAGCAAGCATCAGCATCTCCCGCCATCAGTTCAGACTGACTGGGGAGGTGGGATAGTTATTGACTCTGTTACGTGGTTCCTCCTAACTTCCTGGTCTTGGGGCACACAGATGGGTGGTGCTGTTCTTGGTCAAGGCAGCCTCAGCTCCACCCAGGTAAGGCAGTGGTGGCAGAGAGAGTTAGGGGAGCACCTGTGAAACCGACCAAGGCAGAGATGGGAGCCCTCTGTGCAGCAGGAGTGGATGCAGGACCTGCCTGGAAGCAAGAGGATGAGGGAACCTAGTTGGGTCCTGTTCCCTGCCTGCCTGTGTTCGCAGGGTAACCAGTAAGGGAGCTGGGGTAGGGAATTCTTTCATAGGTTATCTAGCCAGAGATATGTTTATAGACATGTTCTTTCATGTTTATATTCAGGTTTGTTGTCACATAGACATTTATCCATGCGTGTTTTATGTTTGTTACTTTAGAATGGCTCAGTCACAAAATCTTAATCTCTTCATTCCTGCTGCCTCTCTACACACACATACACACACATTCACACACATGCTATGCAAACATGTCTACCTGTATCTACAAAGAGAGATGTTATTTTATTTTTAAATTTTTAAATTCGTATATATTCATGGGGCACAGGTGCAGTTTTGCTACATTGCTATATTGAGTTGTGGCAAAGTCAGGGCCTTCAGTGCATCCACCACTGGAGACAGATACATTGACCCCAACAAGAAACTCCTCTACGATACACCCACTGCCAACCACTCTTACCCTTCTGGGTCTCTATTGTCTATCATTCCACACGCTGCTTTCATGCATATAAAGAGATATTAATCAGATATATCAGAGTGATAACTTGAATTTTACTGCACTATTCTTTCAGCTTCTTTGCACATTTGAAAATATATACAATTATAAGTTGGAAGAATGAGGGAACAAAAAGAGCGAGAGAGAGTGCTGAATCTGAATAGGCTAGGGGTTGGGTCTCACTAGGAACTATAATTGATCTCTGCCATTTTGAAAGTGTGGCCCCCTGAGCTGCCTTCAGAGAGTCCTGGAGGGAAACCTGTTTTCACAGTAATACCAAGATGCCATTTGCCTGTTTCATTATGTTGACTTTTCCATTAATGCTGCAAATGCCAAGGTCGGTAGCACACCCAGCACCTTAGCAGAACCAAGGCAGTGGCTCCAAACTGCAGTCCCATTTAAGAATGCCTTTGATGGAGCAGTAAAATATTTATGTTCATTAAATTTTGATCCTTGAGTACATGTCTTTAATATTCTTTGTGAGAAAATGGGAGATATGCAAAGAGAAGCAGGATAGTAGTCTTGAGAAAGGGCACTTGTGTAGACTCAGTTATGAGTTCAACCAGCAGATCTCCTTCACCCACTGAAAGACAATTGCATTATTTCCAGTTTATGGAAGTAATTATGAATAATTACTTCCAGGAGTATTATGAATAAAGCTGCAAGAGTATTTGTATACAGGTTTTTCATGAACATAAAGTTTTCCCTTGTTTGAAATAAGTGCCTAGGAGGGCAATTTCTAGTCATATGGTAAATTGCATGTTCAGTTTGAAGAAAACTGCAATATCCATTTCCAGAGTGGCTGTACCATTTTAAAATCCATTCCTACCAGCAATATGAATGATCCAGTTTCTCTGTAACCTTGCCAGCATCTGTTGCTACCTTTATTTTGTATTTCAGCCATTCTCATCACTGCAGTTTTGATTTGTATTTTCCTACTGGATAGTGATGTTGAGTGTCTTTTCATCTGTTTGTTAGCCTGGTGTTTATCCTCTTCAGTGAAACGTCTGTTCATGTCTTGCTCATTGCCTATTGTTTATTTGGATTTCATTTTTACTGTTGAGTTTTTACATTTCTTCATATATTGTGAATGCAAGTCTTTATTGAATATGTGGTTTGCAAATATCTTCTCTCATTCTGTAGCTTGTCTTTTTATGCTCTTCATAGGTCTCTCACAGAGCAACAGTTTTAATTTTGATAAGATCCAGTTTAGTAACTTTTTCTTTTACAGATCATACTTTTGGTGTTATGTGTAAGAACTCTTTGTCTAGTCTTAGTTCTGATGGCTTTTTGTTAAAAGATTTGTAATTTTAATTTTTTAATGTATTTGTTATTTATTTAAAAAAAAATCTTGCCTAGGCTGGCCTTGAACTCCTGGGCTCAAGGGATCCTCCCACCTCAGTCTCCTGAGTAGGTGAGAGTACAGGCCTGTGACACCACACCTGGCTCAATGTTTGTAATTTTAACTGTGTGTTGTGTTTTACATTAAAGCCTGTGATTCATTTTGAGTTTTTTTTTTTTTGTATAAAGCGTGAGGTTTGGGCTCAGCCTATTTTTTTTCCACTGTGGTTGTCCAGTTGCTCCAGCACCATTTGTTGGGAAAGCTCTCCTTCCTTCATTGAATTGTGTTTGTGCTTTTGTAAATGTCAGTTGAGCATATTTGTGTGTTTTGCTCATTTTCAGTTGAGTTGCTCATCTTCTTACACATTGAGTTTAAGAACTTGCCACATTATTCTGGAAACATGTTCTTCAACACAAATGTAATTTGTGATAAATTGTGAAATATTTTCTCCCTGTCTATGGCTTGTCTTCTCATTCTCTCAATGTCTTTTGGAGCACTCAAGTTTTAAATTTTAACTAAGCCCAATTTCTCTCTCTCTTTTTTTTTTATTTGTAGATCATGCTTTTGGTATTTTATCTAAGAATCTTTTGCCTAACTACCCAAAGTAATAAAAATTTTCTCCTGTGTTTTCTTTTAGAAATTTTATAGTTTTAACTCATAAATTTTAGCTGTTTAGGTCTCTAATTTGTCTGAGCTGATATTTTATATGGTGTTAAATGTAACATTGTGTTACCTATGCAACTTCATTGAAAATCAATTGACAAAGAAAGTAAGAATATCTTTCTAGATTCTCACTTCTGTTCATTGATCTCTATGTCTCTCAGTTTCACACTGTCTGGATTATTGTAGTTTCATATGACATTCCATTTTTTTTTTCAAATTTGTGTTGGCCCTTCTGCATCCTCTGCATTTTAATATACATTTTTAGGATTATTTTGTCAATTTTCTTTTCTTTTTTTCTTTTTTTTTTTTTTTTGAGACGGAGTCTCGCTCTGTCACCCAGGCTGGAGTGCAGTGGCATGATCTCCGCTCACTGCAACCTCCGCCTACCGGGTTCATGCCATTTTTCTGCCTCAGCCTCCCGAGGAGCCCGCCACCACGCCCGGCTAGTTTTTTGTATTTTTAGTAGAGATGGGGTTTCACCGTGTTAGCCAGGATGGTCTGGATCTCCTGACCTCATGATCCGCCTGCCTCAGCCTCCCAAAGTGCTGGGATTACCGGCATGAGCCACCGCGCCCGGCTTATTTTGTCAATTTTCTATAAAATCCCTGCTGGGATTTTGATAGGGATTGTGTTGAACCTATAGATCTACTGGGGGAGAATTGCCATCTTAACAGTATTATCGAGCTTTCCAACTCGCATCTCTCCATTTATTTAGACCTTTAATTTCTCTGAGGAATGTTTTTTTATTTTCAGTGAACAAACACTGCTGTCTTCCTAAATTTATTCCTATTTCGCTCTTCTGGTAACTACTGTGATAGGAAAGTTGAGATTTTCATTGCTTCTATAGAGAAATATGTTAATAATTAATTTTTATATTGATTTGATATCCTATGGGCCCTTCTGGATTCATTTATTAGTGCTAGCCAGTTTTTATCTGCTTGTGAATTCTACAGACAGGGTCATGTTATCTGTGAATAGAATTGTATGTTTTCCTTTTTATCTGGATGCCTTTAATTTTTAATTTTCTGCCTTATTGCACTGGCTACAATCTCCAGTATAATATTAAATAAAAGTGGTGGGATTGGACATCCTTGCATTGATCCCCATCTTAGGAGAAAAGCATTCAGTCTTCAGTCTTTCTTCATTAAGTTTGATTTTAGCTGTGGGTTTTTTATAGATGCGCTTTATCAGAGTGAAGAAGGTCTCCTCCATTCCTATTTTGTTGAAACTTATGAACATGAGTGATGTTAACATTTTTGTCAACTGTTTCTTCTGCATCTTTTGAGATAATTATGTCTTTTTTTCCATTAATACAGTGCATTCCATGAATTGATTTTCAAATGTTAATCCAACCATATGTTCCTGGGATGAATCCCATTGGTCATGGAGTGTAATCCTTTTTTATGTGGCTTTGTATTATCTGCCAATGTTTGTTAAGGATGTTTTCATTTATGTTTATTGGTGACACTGGTGTATGGCACTCTTTTCCTGTGAGTCTTGCTGTGACTTTGATATGAGGGTAATGCCAGTTCTGTAAATGGGCTGGAAAGTCTTCCCTCCTCTCTTCTTGTCTGAAAGAGCTTTCAAAATATTTGATAGAATTCACCAGTGAAGATATCTGGGCTTTGGCATTTCTTTTTGAGAAGGTTTTTCAATTTCTGACTTAGTTCACAGTTCTCTTCAGGTTTTCCAGTTAATTTGGGTCAGTTTTGGCAATTTCTATCTCTGCACGAATTGGTCCTTTTTATCTAAGTGGTCTAACTTATTGGCTTCAGGTTTTTCAGAGTATTCACTTATAATGTTTTTTAACTTCCTAAGGGTCATTAGTGATAATCTCTTTTGTTCACAATTTTGGTAATTTATCTTATTTCTCATAATCTCTTTTTTCACTGTTGGTCAAGAAAACAGACAGAGGCAGCAGATGGAGATGTGACAGATTCTCTAGTGGGAAGGCTTTGATCATAATACCTGGCAAGCCAGAATGATGCCAGCAACCCCAAAGGAGCTGCCAATGGATCTTGACAGGAAAATCACTGACTCTGGATTGGGCTATGCTC